>NC_000009.12:40893967-41059976 GCF_000001405.40 Homo sapiens | reverse complement strand
CCTAGGACTCCCATAACAAATTACCACATATTTGGTGGTTTAAAATCACAGAAATTTATTCTCTCACAGTTCTGGAGGCCAGAAGTCAAAATCAAGGTATCAGCATGGCCACACTCTGTAGATGCTCTAGGGAGAATCTGCTCCCTGCCTCTTCCAGCTTCTGGCAGCAGAATACATTCCTTGGCTTCCCGGGTGTGGCTGCATCACTCCAATCTTTGCATCTGTCTTCATATCTCCTCTTCTTTGTGTCTATTCTAGTAAGTACAAAGTGCTGCATCTTCCATGATGGAAGTGGCCCAAATTAACCAATCTACCACCAGGTAGCTGGCTGATCATTTGGGGAATGGTACCATAAGGAGACTCAGTGTTGGTCCCTGCTGCTGGTAGAGTAGGCACTCTGCAGTGGCCATAGCCAGGTCAGCCTTGGTGAGTGAAAGTCCATGTTGTTGAGCCCATGCATAGCCTTCATCCCTGCCATCACGGCCATGGTATTACAGCATTCTTGCATTGCTATGAAGAAATACCTTAGGCTGGGTAATTTACAAAGAAAAGAAGTTTCCTTAGCTCATGGTTCTGAAGGCTGTACAAGCCTGGTGCCGGCATCTCCTTGGCTTCTGGTGAGGCCTCAGGAGCTTTTACACATGGCGGATGACAAAGTGGGAGCAGGCATATCACACAGCAAGAGTGGGAGCAAGAGAACAAAAGAGAAGGTGCCACATACTTTTAAACAAGCAGATCTCATGTAAACTCAGAGCGAGAACACATTTATCATCAAGGGCATGGTGCTAAACCATTCATGAGGGACTCGCCCCCATGATCCAAACACCTCTCACTGGGCCCCACCGCTAACACTGAAGATTACATTTCAATATGAGATTTGGAGGAGACAAACATCTAAACCATATCAGCCACTTGGCTCATGAGCCCATTGGACAATGACAGGAATGGCTGGGGGAAAGCCACTCATTGACATCCACAGAACTGGTCATCCTATTATTAAAATCCTCCTCTGCCTAGGTCACCATTTGGTGAGTGTCCATAAGGGACACAAATATCTTCACAATTTTCCATGTCTTACCTTAGAAGCCCCATCACCCTCTCTTTCACATCTCCTCCAGTACTTATCCCCCAGATGATAGGACCATGTCCAGCAATACCTCTTCTCTCTGGTATTGATGGGTTAATGAGCAGATCTCACATAGGTAAAATTTCCAGATATCTAGAATTTAATCTTCTGTTAATTCTCCAATTATAACTAAAGTATTTCAGGTTGAAACTTCATTCAAGTGTAATTACTCACTTTAACCTTCTTAAACAGAATGTATATTACCTTTTCAAAAATAACTGAAATTTAATAAGATAAAAATGTATCTATAATCATTCCTACTTAATAACTTTACATGTTTATTTCTGCATTTTTCTAAGTCCTTGCCCCAAAGTGGACATAATTTTATACTGTAATAGCATAAAATAATTTTGCATTTGACATTTTTGATTTGGCATTAAACTATTGTTTATGTTTCTTTCGCTACTGCTTAAGAAAATGTGGGTGATTGTAATAAATAAACCTGAAATGTAGGCAATTTTTATTGCCTTAAAAACAATAGAATGTTATTTCTCACTCACACAATAGTCCAATGAGGATGTCCCTGGTGGGCAAAGACTCTTGTCTACCAAATGGGATGGGGACTCAGTTTCCTTCCCTCTTGTGACTCTGGCATTGCCTAGAGCCACATGATTACCTGTACTGAATCTGTAGAAAGAGAAATAAGCAGTGTAGAGATGATATGTCTGTTTTCTGATATCCTCAGCCTAGAAGAAACACACATTACTTCTGTTCTTATTCTCATACTAGTTTATCACCCATTGTCCAAATGCACCATGTGGCCACACCTAGATGCAAGGGTGGGGTGGAAAATGTAGCCCCTGGCTGGGCAGCTGTTCCTCAGCATTGACTCTGTGCTATGGAAGGGCTTCCTAAGTTTTTGTGGACTGCTATCCCAGTCTGTCACCACTATACAATCTTCATAATTTTCCCTTTAAATGGCTGAGAGAAAATTTTGAACAAAAGCTACAAACATTTTTCAGATTCTTGATTCTCCAGACTTATTACTTGAGGGCAGTGACTAAATTATATTCAGTTCTATATCAGAAGGTTCTTCCATATTGCCGGTTTCATGGTAGATATTCAATAAAATGAGTTGAATGACTACATAAATTTTAGCAAGAGCATATGGAAAATAATTTATCATGACTTTGGGTAATACTATAGGTGTAATTATTGTCCTTTCTCTTTCCTGACTTGATTAATAGCACCACTATCCATTAAGTTATTAAAGGTAGAAAGCTGAGATTATTCTTGACTCCTTTTCTCACTGGTCCAGTATTAGTTATTTATTGCAGTGTAAGAAATTACCATGAAACTTAGTGGCTTAGTTGGGGCTTGATGGGGGCTGGAGGATCCACTGCAAGATGGCTCAGTCACTTGGCTGGCAAGGTGGTGCTGGCTGTTAGCCTCCCATCTGATCCTCCTCTTTCCGCTCCTGCCACTCTTCAAGGTATTTTTTCCAGAGCAGCCATTCATCATTCATTTATTTTTTCCCATTAATTAATTCAACAGATATTTATTGTATACTTACCATATGCCAGATTTGTTCTAGGTTCTTGGAATATAGCAGTGAAAAAAAAAAACAGTCCTTGGATCTTATATACAGTGGGGAAATAAACATATATTGTAGAAAATTAGATGGTAATGTGTGTGAGCACATATATTTATTATTTCTCATCATTTCTGAGACAGGAGATGGGTATTCTGGCTTGGGGACTCACATGAGGTCACAGTTACATGTTGGTATTGGTTTGGTCATATGAAGGCTTGGTGGGGGCTGGAGGATCCACTGTGAGATGGCTCAATCCCTTGGCTGGAAAGTTGGTGCTGGCTGTTGTTGGCAGGCCTTGCTTCCTCTTCACAGGGCTTCTTGAGTGTCTTCATGACATGGCAGCTGGCCTCTCCCAAAATAAGCTGTCCAAGAGAGCAGGGCAGAAGTGTCCATGCCATTTATGGCCTCACCATGGAAGTCACACACAAACACTTCTGCAATATATACAGATTACCCAGATCTGCATCGTTCAGTGTGGGAGGGGACCACAAAAAGGCACAAATGCCAAAAGGCAAGGACCATTGGGGCCATTTTGGAGGCTATTTACCACAGCCCCTCTCTTCAATATTCCAGTCCACCTGCATATTCTGTTCATCCTCCTTCCAAAAATGTATCTCAAACCAAATGACTAATTTTCATTTCTGTTGGCTCTAGCCTAGTCCAAGACTCTATCAACACTCGACTTGAAGAGTGTCCCGTCTGATATTCCTCTTTCTGCTCTTGCCCCCCTTCAAGGTATTTCTCCCAGAGAAGCCATTCATCATGCATTCATTATTCTCCATTCATTAATTCAACAAATATTTATTGTACGCTTACCACATGCCAGATTTATTTTAGGTTCTTGGGATATAGCAGTGAAAAAAAGTCCTTGGGCTTTACATACAGTGGGAAAATAAATAATATGGAAAATGTTAAAGGCAACATATGTGATCCAGAAAATTATAGCAGGGTGAAGGAAATAGGAAACAATAGAAAAGTTAGGGACTTCTGGCTATAGTATTATATAGGGCTGTCAAGGGTGCTATCTCTCATTAGCTTACATTGAAACAGAAACCCAAAAGACAGTAGAGGGCAGGTATGTTAATATCTGGGCAAGTATTCTAAGCAGAGGAAAAAGAAAATGCAAGGGCCCTGAGGCAGGATCATGTTTGGTATGTTTGAGGAATAGCTGTTCTGTTCCGTTGTGGCTGGAACAGAAGAAGGAGGGCGGGAGGGCGATAGAGAATGGTACATGATGGAGGTCAGATTATGTAGGGCCTTGTAGACTACAATGAAGACTTTGGCTTTGTTTTGGGTTGGTGGGGGACAAGGAATGCTATTGGAATGTTTTAGTGACTTGATGTGACTTACTTTTTAATAGGACCATTTGGGCTGCTCAGCCCATGATGTTTAAAAATGCAATCAGGTCACTTCCACTGTTTAAAACCTTTCAATGGATTCTGGTTGTACTTAGAATAAAATCTAAGCTCCCTTAGCTATTATTATTATATTATTATTAAAATTGACGTCCTTTATTCTCTATTACAGCAGTCTAATTCCTTCCTAATATGTACCTCACTAGTAACTATTATTATTATTATTTGTTTATAATCTGTCTCCTCTACTTTAAAATATGTAGCCTGGGGATCTTGTGGATTTCCATACTAAATCATCCCAAGGCCACTTTGCTTTTGAGCTCTGTGTGTGTGTGTGTGTGTGTGTGTGTGTGTGTGTGTGTGTGTGTTTTGATCTCTTCTGTAATTTTTTTCCCCTGATCTCGCTGATTGTTATATTTGGTCAGTGACTGACCTCTAGCAATGATGGTGCCAGGGCAACTTTGTTGTTGAACTGTATGTTAAGGTTTGTTTTGGCTTGTTGGTTATATCAGTACTTATCAAATGAATTATCTGGGAAGAGAGGAGAGGATCTTATTAAAATACAGGTTCTTATTAGGTAGGCCTTGGGTGGGCCTTGAGGTTCTGCATTTCTTTCTTTCTCTTTCTTTCTTTTACTATTTCTTTCTCTTTCTTTCTTTTTCTTTTTTCTTTCTTTCTCTTTCTTTCTCTCTCTTTCTTTCCCTTTCTTTCTTTCCTTTCTTTCTTTCTTTCCTTCCTTTCTTTCTTTCCTTCCTTCCTTCCTTCCTTCCTTCCTTCCTTCCTTCCTTCCTTCCTTTCTTCCTTCAGACAGAGTCTCACTCTGTAGCCCAGGCTGGAGTGCTGTGGTGCCATCTTAGCTCACTGCAACCTCTGCCTCCCAGGTTCAAGCAATTCTCCCACCTCAGCCTCCGGAGTAGCTGGGACTACAGGCGTGCACCACCATGCTCAGCTAATTTTTGTATTTTTAGTAGAAATAGGGATTCACCACGTTGGCCAGGTTGGTCTCGAACTCTGGAGCTCAAGTGATCTGCCCACCTCAGCCTCCCAAAGTGCTGGGATTTCAGGTGGAGCCACCATGCCCAGCTGAGGTTCTGCATTTCTATCAAGCTTGCAGGTGATGCCCATGCTGCCAGCCCTTTGAGTAACAAGGGGGCTTTATTACCGAGCTTGGCTGAACATTGGAATCATCTGTGGAGCTTTAAAACTACTAATGCTGGGCTCTCAACCCCAGAGATTGCAATATCATCAGTCTAGAATGCAGTTTGAGTACTAGGATTTTAAAAAGTTTCATAAGTGATTCTATTTTGTAGAAATATTGAGAACTACTAGATTGGATGATATTGAATCCAATTTTAAAATAAGGTGTAGCAATAAATGTTCTTCAGCGCTGTGTTGCTGACTTTTTAGAAAGTCAGTTTTGTAGCTCTAGAAAGAATCTGGCTGCATCCATGGATGACCTCCAGATCTCTGCTTAGCATGACTGGGTAATTTCTCCAATGTCTCCAGCACATGCTGTCACTTAACAGCAGAAAGAGAATTCCTACTTTCAGGAGAAAAGTCATTCCTGAAGATTACAGTTAAAATATGCCCACAGATCATGAGGTTGTACTAAGTCAGTCCCCTTGCTCTCTGAGCTTGTTCTAAGTTACAGGAAGCAGAAGAAGCAGAGAAGCACTCCATTTCTTTTTTCTTGTAATCTCTAGCATGTTCACATGCATAGTTTCTGAGTCAGTAGCAAACTAAGAACTTCTTGTGTGATTCAAGCTAACCCCTCGATTATCAGAAGCAGATGTTTCAAACGACTGAAGATCAATGAGGCATATCCTATTTACAGGTTAATAATTGACTACTAGATGCAGGTGCCCCAAATGGTCTTAGAGACATTAGATAGGAGAGACAATGTCAGTGCTCCCCCTACCCTGCCTCCCCTAATCTAAAGCCTACTCTGTTTCTTTTATCAAGTGATTGGCTGTATGTTAACAGAGCCTGGGGCACTTTCCTGTTGAAATGCCTTTAATCCCAAGCAACTGTATTGATTTTTTTTTTTTTTTGGATGGTTTAGATTGGATGACTGATTATTGGACAGAATGGCATCTTGTCAACACCTGCGGTCTCCTGCATTATCAGGAAGATCAAGGCAGCTGGTGGAATCATTCTAACAGCCAGCCACTGCCCTGGAGGACCAGGGGGAGAGTTTGGAGTGAAGTTTAATGTTGCCAATGGAGGTATGTGGTTCAGTATATGCCTTAATAATCACGATTTCCTTCCTCTTATATTATTATAGTCTCACAGTGACCCTTTGATGATAGACAAGCAAGGTGCAGAGGACCTAGCTCAGAAAAATTTAGTGAGGTGCCCAAAGTGATCCAACAAAGAAGTGGCATGATGGGCTCATGAACCCATTTGGGTGGTCTCTTGGTCCCCTGTACTCTTCAGCATAAACTATTGAATAGTTGATGCTTATCTGATATGGAAGGACTCTGAATTTTAACATTAAAACATACCCTGAAGGTCGTTGTCTAAATGACAATGACCCTCATTTTACACATGAACAAATCAAAGGCCTGAGAGGCTGAGTTACTGCTGAAGGCCACAGGGTTGATCAGGGTCAGATTAATGATTTTTAGCCCAAATCCTGGGCTCTCTTTTTCCTACAGTGTTGACTTTCTCTCAAAATCATAGAATTGTTTCACTTTTTCTTATATTCACAGCAATTTATAGTTTGGGGGTCCTTAGTGGAGGGGGTGGCATATATGTATGGAGTAAATTTCTTTTAAAAATTGAACACACAAAAAAATAGGGAGAATAAGAAATAGATAACATGTACCCATTATCTTGTTTTTCTATTTTGCTTATCTTTTTTTTCTGAAGAATTTTAAAGCAAATTATAGCACAAGAACATTTCACACCCAAATATTTTTGTATGCATCTCTTAAAAAGAAAGACACATTGCTGCATGACCGTGCTAACATACCTAACAATAATAACATTAATTCTCCAATATCACCTGAAAACTAATCTATAGTCAAATTTTTCAATAATCCCAAAAATATTATTATTTATAGCTGTTTTATTCAAATCAGGATACATCTAAGGATGCCATGCATTTGCCTGGCAAGTCTCTTAAATCTCTTTTAATCTAGAACACTGAGTTTGCATGAATGTGGGTAGGAGCCAAATTTTAACCAGCAACAGTTACCATTATAAATTATTCCTCATCCCAGGCAAAGCAGTGCATTCTGAAGGGAAAACTTATTATCTATCCCTCCTTGTAGACGTTTTACATGTTATCCAAACAAGAAAGTGTATTCATGTTGAATATTTAAAAAACAATATTGTAACCACAAAGCAGAAAACTAAACCACCAAACCACAAAGGTAGACAACAATAGAGGAAGAAGAGAACAAATTATCTACAAAGTAACCAGAAAACAATTAGCAAAATGGCAGGAGTAAGTCTTTTACTATCAATAATAACCTTGCTGGTACATGGGTTAAACTGTCCAATCAAAAGATATAGAATGGCTGAGTGGATCAACAACAAGATCCAACTAGATGCTGCCTACAAGAGACCCATTTTTAAACTTTAAGAATAGGCATATACTGAAAGTAAAGGGATAGAAGGAGATATTCCATGAAAACAGACAGTTACCAAAAGAGAGCAGGGATGCCTATACTTATATCAGATAAAACAGACTTCCAGTAAAAAGCTGTTCCAAGAGACAAAGAAGGTCATGATTTAATGATAAAGAGGTCATCTTATCAAGAGGACATAACAATTGTAAACATATATGCATCCAAAATTGAAGCACTTAAATATGTAAAGCAAATATTAGTGGACATGAAGGAAGAAATATACAGCAATATAACACTAATAGGGGACTTCAGTACTCCACTTGCAACAATGGAGAAATCAACCAGACAAAAAATTAACAAGACAACACTAAATTTGAACTATACTTCAGACCAAATGGACCTACCAGACCTACATTCATCCAACAACAGCAGAATATACATTTTTCTCTAGCATACATAGAACATTCTCCAGGATAGACCATATGTTAGGCCACAAAATAAACCTTAACAAATTCAAAAAGATTGAAATCATGTCTAGTATTGTTTCCAACCACAATGGTGTGAAGCTAAAAATCAATAACAGGAGGAATCTTGGAAAATTTACAAATATGTGGAAATTAAAGAACATGCTTATGATGAACTAATGGGTCAAAGAAGAAATCAAGAGGGAAATTAAAAAATATTTTGAGATTAATGACAATGGAAACACAATGTATCAAAACCTACAGTATGCAGCAAAGTCAGTTCTAAGAGAGAAGTTTATAGCAATAAATGCCTAGATTAAAAAAGGAAAAAGATATAAATAAGTAGACTAACATTATGCCCCAAGGAGCTAAAGAACAAACTAAACCCAAAGTGAGCAAAAGGAAGGAAATAATGAAGATCAGAACAGAAGCAAATAAAATGTAGTATAGTAAAACTATAGAAAATATAAATAAAATCAAAAGTTGGTTCTTTGAAAAAATAAAATCTACAAACTCCTAGCTAGATTCACTAAAAAAAGCAGACTCAAATAAATAAAATCAGAAATGAAAGTGGAGACATTGCAATAGATACCTCAGAAATAAAAATGCTCATAAGGGATTATTATGAACAATTTTATGCCAACAAATTGGAGGACCTAGAAGAATTGGATAAATTTCTAGAAAAACTAACCCATCAAGATTGAATTGGGAAGAAACAAAAAGTTTGAACACTCCAACAACAAATAAAGAAATTGAAGAAGTGATTAAAAACTTTCCAAAATAGAAAAGCCTAGGACCAAATGGCTTCATGGCTGAATTTTATCAAACATTCAAAGAATAATTATTACCAACACTTCTTAGACTCTTCCAAAAATTAGAGCTACAGGGAATACTTCCAAACACATTTTGTGAGGCCAGCATCACCGTGATACCTAAAGCCAGACAAACATATTGTAAGAAAATAAAACCACAGGCCAATATCTCTGATAAATATTGACGAAAACCAAATTCAACAACACATTAAAGAAATTATGAATCATGGCCAAGTGGGATTTATCCCTGACATGCAAGACTGGCTAAACAGAATGAAAGATAAAAGCCACATGATCATCTCAATTGGTGCAGGAAAGGCATTTTACAAAGTTCAGCATTCTTTCTTAACAAAAACTCTTAACACTTTAGGTATAGAAGGAAAGTTTCTCAACATAATAAAGGTCGTTTATAAGAAACCCACAGCTAACATCATAATCCATTGGGGACAACTGAAAACTTTTCCACAATTTAGTACATGGCAGGGATGCTCACTCTTGCTATTTCTATTCAACATAGTTTTGGAAGTACTAGCAAGAGCAATCAGACAAGAAAAATAAATAAAAGTCATCCAAATTGGAAAGGAGAAAGTAAAATAATCTCTATTTACAGATGATATGATCCTATATATAGAAAATTCTAAAGATTCTACACATGCACACACACACACACACACACACACACAAACACACACACAAATTTTTAGAACTAATAAATGAATTCAATAAGTTGCAGGATACAAAATCAACATACAAACATCAGTAGCATTTCTATACATAAATAATGACCCAGCTGAAAATAATCAAGAAAACAATGCCATTTATGATAGCATCAAAAAAATACTTAGGAATAAATTTAACCAAGGGGTGAAAGTATACTGAAAACTATAAAACATTGATTGAATAAGACACAAATAAATAGATATCCTGTGCTCACTGATCATGGATCAAAAACATTAATATTATTAAAACATTCATACTACCAAAAACAATATACTGATTTAACACAACCCCTATCAAAATTTCAATAACATTCTTCATGGAAATAGAAAAGCAATACTAAAATTTGTATGGAGCCACAAAAAACCAAAGCAATGTTGAGGGGAAAAAAGTTGGAGGTACCACACTTGCTGATTTAAAATTATATTACAAAGCTAAAGTAAAACCAAAACAGTATGATACTGGCATAAAAACAGAAACGTAGACCAATGGAACAGAATAGAGAGCCCAGAAATAAATCAAGACATATATAGTCAACTAATTTTGGAGCAGGGCACCAAGAGGACATAATGGAGAAAGAAAAAAACCTCTTCAATAAATGGTGCCTGGGAAAACAAAAATGTAAAAGAATGAAATTGGACCCTTATCTTACACTATACACAGAAATAAACTCAAAATGAATAAAAGAACTAAACATAAGATCTGAAACCATAAAAATCCTAGAAAAGAACATAGGGAAAAAGTTATTTGACATTGGCCTTGGCAATGATTTCTTGGATATCACATCAAAAGCTCGGGCTACAAAAGCAAAAACAAATAAATGGGACTACCTCAAATTAAAAAGCTTTTTAGCTTTTCCATTTTTCATTTATTTATTTTATACACTTTAAAATCTCTGGGTATTCTTTTTTAGCATCTTAAAATTTATTTTTATATGAGTGCCTGTAGATTTGCCGTATCCTTTAAAAAACAATTATTTTAATATATATTATAATTGTACATATTTTCGGTGTGCATATGGTGAAAGTCATTGGAGTGGAAGATAGCAAGGAGCTTGGAAATTGAAAAGGAATTCAGAAGTTGTTGATGAACTCTGAAGTTATCAGCATGGATGGTTGAATGGCATCATAGACAACTATCTAGAGAGACAGTACTTGCTTTACTTTTGGAAATCAGTGTGCTGGCATTAAAACTCAGGGACTTGAAAATGATGGACACAGCCAAAGAATATAGTATGGTGCCTGGGGTGTAGGGAGTGGAGGGAGATATTCATGCATTCTGTAATCTGGCAAGCATAAAATAATGCAAAAATGAAACAAGACTACCTATTCTTTAAGTTTTGTGAAGGGTAAAAAATGGTAAGGAGTGAAGCAAAGGGCTATTTTTATTTCTTTGAGGTCTTCACTTTTCCCACACAACAAGAAAATTGTTGGTAAAATCTTCTGGGCTGTCTTCTCTCCCACTTACTAGAATAGGACTATTGCTATTCTTTTTTATGAGCATTTATTGGAATACAGTGATGGTGCTACACTCTAAGGCAGCATTGTCCAACAGAAAAATATTGTGAGTCACATACATACTTTACATTTTTAGTAGCCACATTAAAAAAGTGAAAAGAAACAAGTGAAATTCACATTGTGTTTTATTTAAACTACTATATCTAAAATATTATTATACCATGTCATCGATATAAAAATTATTAATGCAATCGATTGCATTTTCTACTAACTCTTCAAAATTTGGTGTGCATTTACAATTGCAGCACACCTCAACTTGACTAGCCACATTTTAAGTGCTCAACAGCTAAATGTGACTAGTAACAATTGTATTGGACAATGCAGTTCTAAGGATTGAGATATTTTAAAAATCAAGAAACAATTTTTGTTCAGTAGAAAGTTACAGTATAGTTGACAAGTAAGATTCATACAGAAAACTATCTATACATCTAGCAATCATTTATACTTTAGATCTTTCAATCTACTTATTTGTTTCTCAACCTTGTTGCAAAAAAAAAAAATCTGAAATGGCTTGCATTAAGATATACAAGGTAAAAAAAAAAAAAAAAAAAGCAAAACCCCAAAAGGTGAACAATTATTGATTTCATGTTCAATTTATTTAAAGTCTAATACTACTTGTCAATTTGGCCTTCCGAGGAAATGCATCATATATTTTTAGTTGAGCTTCATTTTAGAAGTGATTAGAGATTGTGAGTTGGGGAAAATAATTAACTTACCCTGCTAAGCTCACACATCAATTAGGTAGCAGAGCTGGGAATAGAAAGCATAGTTTCCTCTTCTAGATGCACTGGGGAAGCTGCATGGAAATCTGGAATCCCTCACTTCTGTCAAATGCATATCCTGTTTGTGTCTCATAACCTGAATAAAGCTGATTACATAACCAGGTTTCCCTGGCAGGTGTGAAACTATTTTTAGGAAAGATGTGTCATTGCTTAGAAGTGGATTAAAACAAACAAACAAACATATGGGTTGTTAGTCTACATAGAACAGGTGAGGCTGATCAAATTTCCCCCATAGTGGATGAGTACAGTATAAGAAATATCAAGGCTAATTGAACTGTGAACCATTGATCATTGTTTAGAGAACAAATGAATCTTTCTCTGCCTGGTGGAGGAGGATGGTAACATTTCACTGCTTGAAACTCACGAGACTTTTAAAAACATGTATTTTTGGTGTTCAAATTTTAGGTCCTGCACCCGATGTTGTCTCAGACAAAATCTACCAAATCAGCAAAACGATTGAGGAATATGCTATATGTCCTGATCTCCAAATCGACCTATCTCGACTAGGAAGACAAGAATTTGACCTAGAGAACAAATTCAAACCATTCAGAGGTAACAGAGATTTTATTTTGAAGAAGTCAGAGTAACTATGTGGATGGGGCTGACTGGTTTCTGTAGGGAAGTAAACTCATGAAAATTATTGCATTGTTAATCTCAGGGGTGACTCGATAAATGTGTGTAAACTTAATATGGTGTAGAGAGAAGACATGAGAGCAGCCAAGATATTCAGAACTGGAAACTTTCAAAAACCACTTCCCAAACTCGATATCATTTTCAACATAGGAAAAGTTTTATGGTTGACTTCATTATAGCATTCCAAAAATAGGCTGTGAATTGCCAAAACTTGTCTAAGCAATTAAGGTGAAGATGCTGGAATGCCTTAGTTAAGAAGAAACCTAACAAGTCAATGGGTTATTAAATTTCTCATGAAAGGTAGGAGTTTCTTTTCCAAGCCATAACCAAGCTTGGAATAATTACGCATCAGCTTATTGAATGCATAATTATTGATCACTTGCCCTATACCAAGCACCGTGTTAGGAGATTTTACAAAGGAATTCAGTAACTACCAAATATATTTAGGCAAGTGATTCAAAAATTAAAGAACCAAAATGAGATTGTCAAAAATATTATCTTATATTGTAAAGCAAATATAACTTCTACAGTATTCAGAAGATAGCTTTTTGTTTTATAGATTAATTTTAGACCATATGACAACAACATTAATAACATGTATGTATACAACATTTTCCCCCTATATTTTATCATATTGCTTTTTCCTAGAAGGCATAGAATAGCAATAGATCTAATATGTTTTACTTTTTTAGTGCTTCTATAAGCTTGAATGCAGTTTGTGTTAAGATGGTATCCTCATTTTATAAGTAATTTAACTTAGCCCAAAAGAGGAAATACCTGGTTTGTGTCCATGTGATATTTTAGGGATAGAGAAAAGATTAAAATGGATTGTGTGGGGGTCACAGTATTTGCCCAGTGTTACCAAATCTTTCTTGAGAAGTTTTGAGTCAGTTGTTTGCTTAGGTAATGAGCAGAAATTTACAGAGAGCCATGATACTCACTGGAAGCAACAGGGCCTGCTTTTGCTAATCTAGCTGGGAGAATGCATAGGCATATGTGTGCACACGCATGGGATGGCTGGACAATTAAAGGCAAGGGGTACATTATATTAAGCAAAATGATTTCAATACGCTGATTACATATGGTTGGAAGGACTAGGCTTATTTTTGGCATCTTCACAATTTTTATAGTTGTCCAAGAGACCCGAATCTTCGTGGGCTCTCATTCAGGCTCATTGCTGCAGCCACATTGCTAGTTGAATGAGTTTTCTAAAAATGTTACTGATACCAGGAGATAGGTAGAGGGATTCCCTGGCTTCCAAGAATTTGGAGATAATCGTTTGGGATAATTTATGTGCTGTATTCTTGCTGGTTCAAGTGTTGAGCAAAGCTTGAGTTAATTAGGAACAAATAATTCCTTTGCATTTCACTTTAAAGTGTCAAGAGCATGAACTATATGATGTGAACTTTCAATTTTTACTGACTTCTTGTTCCCTCGTTTTTCACATTTGTTTGGTACTGTGTGTTACCTATTGTAAATACCAAATGTATTTAGGCAAGTGGTTCAAGAATTGAAGAGCCAGAATGAAATTGTCAAAAACATTATCCTATAATGTAGAGTGAGTAAAACTTCCAAAGTACTCAGGGCATAACCTTTTGTCTTACAGATTAATTTTTTTATGGCAGTAAAATATACATAACAAAATTTACCATTTTAACCACTGTCAGGTGTACACTTTATACAGGTTAATTTTTAATTACTTCGTAGATTATTATGCTCCTCATGTAAAAAGATAATTTAAAAGTATCCATGTTACAAATATAACTATATTTGAATGAACACATAGATTACATTGACTTAAGTGTAAGAAAAAATATTTTTAGATATGTATTTGATCAGATGAAGGGATAATATATGGCATATTAAGATCTCATCCATTAAATATCACACCTGGATTTACTAAAAATTATTGAAAGTGGGTTGGTAATATCTTCAGTGCAAGTTTAAAAGTATTTCAGGGTTTCAAAGTAGTATGTATTTGAAAAATCTGAAAACAATATACATAAGTTTCAAAATTTAGCTAAGAATTTAAAAAAGCAGGGCTCCTGGACAAATTTTAGCACCTAAAGAATTGATTTACTACTTCTTGGAAAAGTACTTTCCGAGCATTAATTATACACTGATTGACAAGTATGAAAAATGTATTCTGAGCTTTTTGGTATGTCACATAAATGAATAAAACTTTTTGGATTCTTGGTTACTGGGTGGTGCTAGATACTGGAAAGCATTTGTGTTTAATGAGAACTTCTAGATATTTGCCATTCACTTGGAAATTGGGTGCTAGATTGGGCATGAATGAGATTTCACGCAAACCCAGGAATATATTCATCACCAATTCTGCACTCGAATCTGGTAGGCACAATGGCATTTGGAAAACAGGGGTCACTACTGAGGTCACTTGCTGATTTGTTTCATACCAGCTGAGTCAGTCTTTGGCCAGCCCCCACAAGAAAGGCAACTGGATATGCCAAAATGCCTCTAAACATTGAGATGTGTGCTGTGTGCATTTTTTTGGGAGGGGAAGTGGGAGCAGGAGTAACAGGGCACATTTTAATCTTAATTTATTCTTGTGGTTGATATTTTCCTTGCAAAGAATAATTTATAACTTGGTATCATTTGTACCCATTGAGCACCTGAAAAGCTTGTAGTATCTTGATTGTGCCCTGATTTGTGATTTTTGTCAACAAATGGGCACTTCGCTTCCCACGTCATGTGTAGGGATATGATGGGCTTGTGACCAGAATTTCATGCTGTTAAGGTAGTGATTCTTTTTATGCTTCCAAGTATCTTTCATGGGTACAGTCAATGACATTTTCCTTTGTTTTTCTATCTTTAGTGGAGATAGTGGACCCAGTGGATATCTATCTTAACCTCCTTCAGACCATCTTTGACTTTCATGCCATCAAGAGTTTGCTGACTGGGCCCAGCCAACTGAAGATTCGCGTTGATGCAATGCATGGAGGTAAGCTTGTGATTTTCTCCAAATCAGTGGGCAGGAAATATTGAGACCTCTACACCTGTTGGGTTTCAGAGGTTAAGAGGAAAGTTGGATTCATAGATATTCACACAACATGTGTATGTTCAGATATTTGGAATGCTCTGGAAAACTTCAGGACCCTTATTTCTGTCTTTGGATGTAAATGAAAACAAAAGTTGAACAAATGAGTTTGAGGCTATGCATGTTCAAGTGTGGAGTATAGTAAAACTGTTATTTATTTGATCATATGCATGGCATAGTTTAAACAGTCAAATAAATAGTTCAAGATTTATTGTGAAAAAAATCTGTACCCAACTCCTATCTTCCCCCAATTTGTTACCTTCCAGAGTTAAATTTTTCAATTTTTTCAGCTGTTTCTTTTTGTATTTATCTCCCTATCATTAAATATTATGAATATACAGACCCTTGTTGATTTTTCAGTTTTGAGCATTACTGAATTCATACTACAGGAACTGGAGCTGCAGCTCTTTTTCACCCTCTCCACCCACCACCCACCTCTCCACCCACCCTTTCCACCCACCAGTTAGGGAATCCTAGCATGCTTCCCTAATTATATCACCAGTTTGGTAAGATCATTATCTAGTGTTTACATTACCACAACACTGCTGAGCCATGCAATATGCTATAATTATATTTCCTTTACAGTACAACTTTTTGATTTCCTTGGAAACAGCAATTATCTTGTTTTCTCATTGCTTGCTTTTAATCAAGTATGTTTACCACTCTTAATCCTCAAGCTCTCCGCTAGTGTCTAAATCTTCCTTCACTTCATTTTCCTGGAGACTTTGATCTGCCCCACTCTGCCCTGGTTGCTCTCTGAGCATGCTGTCATCATGAAATCTCCCTTTATCACCATGGTAGTAATTCTTTTTACACATCTCTTATGTTAAATGTCCTGTCCCCTGGTTTCTTTGTCTGACACCTTGATTTACTGGTACATTTTGGAGGAACACATTCTCCAGGAACTCAGTGAGAGAAAGCTCATGGTAGGTAAATATTTTGTGTATTGTATATCTGAAAAGGCCTTTTATTCTACACTTGCCCTTGATTAATATTTGACTGATATGGAAATCTATGTTGGATATTATTTTTCTTCAGAAGTTTGAGGGCATTGCTCTACTGTGTTTTAGCTATTATATTAAACTTGAGAAATCCAGTGCTATTTTGATTTTTAATCCATTGTCTTTCCTTTTTCTTCTCTGGAAGCTTTTAGGACCTTTGACTTATCTTCAGTGTTCCTCTGTTTTACAATAATGGATCTTAGTGTGGGACTCTATCTTTATTATATCGGACACCTGATGGACCCTTTCAGTCTGAACACTTGTGTCCTTTAATTCTGGAAAAGTTTTTGAATTACTATTTAGTAACCATTCTGGTTATTTTTACTACTGAATTGATCCTTTAATTATTCTATTTCCCCTTCTCCTCCCCAGTTTTTCATCTCTTTATTTTGTTCTACTTTCTGGGAAATTTCCTTGACTTTATCTTCCAGTCCTTTAGTTCTACCATTATATTTTTAATTTCCCAAAACTTTTGTTTGTATTTTCCAAAGATTCTCTCTTGTAAAAATACATCCTAGTTATGTTTCATGGATACCGTATCTTTTTAAACTTAGGTTTACTGAGGTATAATTTATACACAATAAAACTCACTCCTAGTAGATATACAGTTTGATAAGATTTGACGAATATATACAGCCATGTAACCACTATCACAATCAAGATTGAATATTTCCATCACCTCAAAGAGTTTTTTGCAGCCCTTTGTAGTCAAACCTCTCCCCTTATCCCCAGCCCCTGGCAACCACTCATCTGCTTTCTGCTCCCATAGTTTTGCATTTTCCAGAAAGTTATATAAATGGAAGCATACAATATGTCACCTTTTGCTTCAAGCTTCTTTCACTCAGCATAATAATTTTGATATACATTCTTGGTGTTGCATGTATCAGTAGTTCAGTAGTTGTTCCTTTTACTGCTGAGTACAATTTTATTGTGTTGTCGATATACCACCATTTGTTTATCTATTCACTGGTTAATGAAAATTAGATTTTTCTTCTAGTTGTTGGCTATTGTAAAGAAAGATACTGTGAACATTCGTGAACAAGTCTGTACGTTTTCATTTGTCTTGGGTAAACAGCTAGGAATGGGATTGCTGAGTCATATGATACGTGTATGTTTACCTTTATAAGAAATGGCCAAATCATTTTCCAAAATGCCTGTTCCATTTGCACCACTGGCAATGCATGAGGGCTCCAGTTTATCTGTATCTTCACCAATACTTGGTACTGTCAGTCTTTTCCATTTTAGCCATTCTACTCTATCTTGTTAATCTCTATTAGGATATTACTGATATATTTTAAAAAGTTTTCTTCTCCCTGTATAATTTTTGTTTCCTCCAGGTTTCTCTTTACTTTTTGTTTATTTTCACCTCATCTCAAATACATTCCTCAAAATTTTGGTGATCCTTGGCTTTCTGGCATATTTAAGAATGAGGCACTAAAAATCTGCTGGGAGCTCTGAGCCTGCTGTGGGTCTTCTCCATGGGCCTTACTCTAAGGGCTTCTGGCTAGGCTGTTCTGTTCTTTCTTGTTGGGCTGATCATATTCCTCAGGAAAAGAACTTTCAGGTTCTTGCCTTAGCATTATCTGGCCTACAGGGAAGACAGCTTTGCTTTTTTTCCAAATAGTATGAGCAATGATTCTGGGTTTCAGCCTCATTGCCTGGTTTATACTGTATGTCCATCTTTGAATCAATTGCTCTGGCTAGAAGATGGAGGACGCTGATTGCGCAGACCTAGGTCACCTCCTTAGCCTTGGGGAGGTGGGATTTAGCCATACCCAGACCCCATGAACTGAGATGGGGAAGGGAGTTTTTCTCCAATAGAAATCCCAAATGCTGTATCCAGAGGAAGAGGAAATGTGTGCTGGGCAGGCACAATCAAGAGATGTTCACTATTGGAGGATTGTGTGTTGTATTGGTGGAAAATAAGTGGAAAGCAATATCTTTCAGATATTTCAGCTAGGAGGATTACATGCTGTTCCACAAATGTGCCTTATGTTCTACCTCAGGCTCTGTTCCCTTGCTCATAATGTTCCTTCGATTTAGATGGGCTTCCCACTCCAAACCCAAACACTTGCCAACTTTATATTATTCTGTCAAGTTCCACCAGAAATGCTGCTTCTTCCTTGAAGCCTTATGTGTGGTTATTGCTTCTCTGAAGCCATTGGATATAATTATTTCATCAATGTGCATTGTTTAGTCTTACCACTGCAGTCATTCATTTGCAGCTTTGACTCATCCCACTACTAGATTACAAGCCCAGGAATGTAGAAACTATGTGCTTTGCATCCCTTCAATATGATCCCTTCATTTCCTAGCAGAGCAGCTCCATATTGCATACTCCATAATGTTCATTGAACTGGAAAATACTATTCCTTGGCATGTATTTTGGTAAAATGTGCTTGTTTTTATATGCTTCAGTGGTTTATAGTGTTTAATTATATACTTGGCAAAGTCCAAATGATTGCAGAAACAAAGAACATTGCTAGAGCCCTTTAATGCTTTTGCATATATTCAGCTAAAGCTTTTAATACATGAAAAGCAACAGGCAATGAATCATTATTATGTAGCTGATTTCTTTCTGGCAAACTTTTAGAAAAATTTCAGGTGAAAAAATGTATGTAACTAGATGATTGAATACATCTTCTGTATTCCTACCACAGTAACTGGCACATAGTAGATGCTCAATAAATAGTAGTTCAAGCAAATATTGTTCTATATTGTATCTTTAAAACGATTGTAAATTTATATTTTTCTTCTGGGTTATTAAATGGTGTTTCCTGTACTATTCAGAACAAAATACTCTGGGGAGAAGGTTCTGCAAATATTTAATATTGCTGTGTATCTATTTTTAGTTATGGAACCTTATGTGAGAAAAGTTCTGTGTGATGAGCTGGGGGCCCCAGCCAATTCTGCAATAAACTGTGTTCCCCTGGAAGACTTTGGAGGGCAGCACCCTGACCCAAACCTGACATATGCAATGACTCTTCTGGAAGCAATGAAAGGAGGAGAATATGGATTTGGAGCTGCATTTGATGCTGATGGGGTAAGTAGGAAAGCTCTCTGTCTGCTGACCCTTTGATCATATAATGAGCCATGCACTGGAAAGCAGAGAATTAATGAACACATCTGGAGCTAACATGTATGGGGCATGTGTGCCCTAACTGGCTCTGCATCTGCCCTTCTGTTTAATGACTAAGTATTGCAATTAAATAGCGATTACTTTTCTTAGTTCCAGATTTACATTATGGCATACAAAGGTTGTTTATTTAAAAATATATATTATTCAATAAATCTTTATTTATGGCTGGTGTTGTTGAAAGCACCAAGTTAAGAAATCAGCTATTTCTGCAAGAAGCAGTGTTCTCCATTATGTTTGGGAGAAAGAAAGAATTAGGTATTTGGGGGCTTCTAAAGCTTGAGCCACATTTCAACAGGTGGAACATATTCCTGGTGTGTCAAGAATCTGGGCCCTTGGTACTCAGAGATTTTGAAGAATGTTTCCCATGTTCTCTTTGGCCTCATTCAAGTTGTTAGATTGTTAAATATAAGATGGCAGTAAAGTGGATTGTGATGATTATGGGAATGGGCTGCTAGCAGATGCTTCTGTCCGATCATTTTTACGCATTCCTTCCTACAGGACCGTTATATGATCCTAGGCCAAAATGGCTTCTTTGTGAGCCCTTCTGACTCCCTGGCCATCATTGCTGCCAACCTCTCTTGCATTCCATATTTCCATCAGATGGGGGTCCGCGGGTTTGGGAGGAGTATGCCAACCAGCATGGCCCTGGACAGGTAAGCAAGGATGTCACCGTGAAAAACTTTATGGTAGACCTTTGGCGTCGATGTCTCCTTTGTTGGTTGCTGGCGCTTATTCTCCCCTGCTCCATTTGGGAATGTGTTGAAAACATGGGAACACGGTATAGTGTATTGGGTAGAAGCTGGAGAATCAGGTGGCCTGAGCTTAATTCTTGGCTCTGCCACTTACTAGCTGTGGGAATTTAGATTTATTTAGTCTCTGTGCCTCAGTTTTCTTATCTGTAAAATGTGGATAATAATAGTGGTATCTTTATATGGATTGTCATGAAGTACAAATGAGGTGCTTCATGTAGAACATTTAACATGGTGCCTGGTACATAGTAAATACTACATAAATGTTTAGCAACAGAACTTATTAACCTGAAAGTATGTATGTATAAGTGAGGGAAAAAAAGCATGGGTTTTGAGGTCAGATTATATTATGTTCAAATGCTAACTTATAGCCTTATTAGCGCTGTACAAATAGAAAAATGATACTTCATAGGTTTATTGTAAGAATGAAACGAGACAGTGCATGGAAAATACCCAACAAGAGATTCACTCAGTAGGGCTCTAACTAACCCTATTAGGTTTCATTCTTCTTGCTCTATCCATCCCTCTTGTCTATCACCCTATATTATAAAACATTGAATTTCAGAGTCTGACATTTTCAACCAGCACGTGTTATTATAGAAACAGTGTATGTGCCTGGTGGAAAGTTAGAAAACACAAATAAGAGAATGTAAACATCTTATCCCCTACCTTGGGTTACCTATGTTAATAGAAAAACTTATATTCCTTACTGTATCTCTTTCTATACATATACGTTATACACATATAATTAAAATACATAATATAATATACATAATATATATACATATATAATTTATTTGCCTGTGATAATACCAAAGACATCAAAAAGTACATTGCTTGTAACCTGCTTTTTCTTTTCCATCAACAATTGCCAACTACCAATTAATAAATTTTGGCCGGTCGTGGCGACTCACACCTGTAATCCTAGAGCTTTGAGTGGCTGAGGTGGGAGGATCACTTGAGGCCAGGAATTCAAGACCAGCCTGGGCAATAGAGCAAAACCCTGTCTCTACAAAAAATTTTCTTTAATCAATCAGGTGTAGTGGCATGTTCCTGTAGTCCCACACCAAATGTTGATTAGGATAGGAAGCAACCAGAACTTTCATACATTGCAAACAAAAGTGTAGAATGGAAGACAGTTTGGCAGTTTCTTGTAAAATGGAGCCTACAGCTGACCAACATTCCATTCCTAAATATTTACCCAAAAATAATGGAGATGTGTCCACAAAAGACCTGTATAATAATATACATAGTTGCATGATTCATAATAGCTAATAACTGGAAACAATACAAATGTCCATCAACAGGAGATTGCAAAAATAGTGATATATTTATATATTCGTATACTACACAATAACAAGAAGGAATGAAATACTGACACATGCAGTGGGTGTGGATGAATAAAAAAAAATTAAATGATAAAAAGCCAGTAACAAACAAATACATAATATATAATTCCATTTCTGTGAAGTTTCAGAACAGGTAAACATATATGTGGCAATAGAAATTATTACAATGTTACTGTATGAGGGGTAGGAAGAAGGCACCGGGAAACATTCTGAGGTGACGGGAATGTTCTGTGTCTTAATCTGGGTGGTGGTTACATGGATGTGCACACTTTTCAAAACTCATTGAATTGTACCCATAAAATGCATTTCACTGTATATAAATTTTACCTTATGAATGAATCAACACCATGAAAAAATAGCCACAAAATCCAGAAGATGAGATTCTATGGGACAAATTAGCTAGGTATGATGACGCATGCCTGTAATCCCAGCTACTTGGGAGGCTGAGGCAGGAAAATCGCTTGAACCCAGGAGACAGAGGTTGCAGTGAGCCGATACCATGCCATTGCACTCCAGCCTGGGCAACAAGAGAACAAGAGTGAAACTCTGTCTCAACAACAACAACAACAAAAAAATACTGAAGGGCCATAACACGTGGTTCTAAATGAGATACTACATTGGGCAAACCATTCAAAAAAGACATTCTGGAGACACTGAGGGAAAATTTCAGTATGATCTTAGTTTCAGATGACATAAAAATTATTTATTTGTTTATTTTAGAGAAAGGGTCTCACTCTGTTGCCCAGGCTGGAGTGCAGTGGTACGATCATAGTTCACTGTAACCTTCAACTGCTGGGCTCAAGCAATCCTCCCAACTCAGCCTCCTGAGTAGCTAGGACTACACATGCGCCATCATACCCAGTTAATTTTAAAAACATTTTTTGTAGAAATGAGATCTTGCTATGTTGCCTAGGCTGGTCTCAAACTCCTGGCCTCAAGTGATCCCCCTGCTTCAGCCTCCCAAAGTGCTGGGATTATGGGCATGAGCCACTGAACCTGGCTACTTTTAATCTTATTAGTATCTTTTGATGAGCAGAAGTTTTAAATTTTGATGAAGTCTAGTTTATTTTTCTTATAATTAATGGATTATATGATTATTATATATGTCTTTGTCAACTACAAGAAATTTTTGCTTCCTCCAAGGTCAGAGAGATATTTTCTCTATATTTTCTTCTAGAGTCATTGCAGTTTCAACTTTTACATTTATGTCTAGAATGATTTTGAATTAATTTTTGAGCACGGTATAAGGTAGGGGTCGAGGTTCACTTATTTCCCTTATCCAGTTTTTCCAATCCCATTTTTAAAAAAGAATTTTCTTTCCCCTGAATAGCCTTGGCACCATTATTAAAAATCTGTTGGCCATATATATGTAGATCTATTTCAGGATTCTCTATTCTATACCACTGATCCATTTGTTGATTCGTATGTAAATATTACACTGAAATTAGGTGAGCTTCCCAACATGTTTTTCTTCTTTGTCAAATTAAAGGGAAATTATATATTCTAGGTCCTCTGCATTTTATTTCATTTTAGAACCAACATCTCAATTTCTACCAAAGCCTACTGGGATTTTGATTGGGATTATGTTGAATCTATAGAGCCATTTGGGGAGAATAGTATTTTAATAATCTTGAATCTTCCAATCCATGAATGTGGTATATCTCTCTATTTAGGTTTTCTTTAATTTCTCTTACATGTATTTCATAATTTTTAATGTAGAGATCTTATACAATTTTTGTCAAATTTATTTCTGAGTATTTTCTTTTTTTTGACGCTATTATAAATGTTTTATGAATTTAATTTTCCAATTATTTGCTGCTGGTGCTTTTTTGTAAATTGACCTTGTATTCTTCACTAGAGGGGAGAAGAATCACCTACCTTTTGGATGCCTCCCACTCTACTTGTCTCCCTGAGGTGATATGGACCTTAAGTCCACGATGGTGACCTAAACTCAGTTTAAAATTCTTGCCTAGCAGCACCAAAGAGTGGTATGTGATTCCATGTTTTCTCCCATTTACCTTTGCCTACACCCTTCCTTTAAAAAAAAAAAAGACTCCGTAGAATTGTAGGGAACAAAGTAAAAATGGGACCATTTCTAGAAATTGAGAACTCAGAGTCATATAGAATCCTGAGTGATACGTAGGGTATTTAATAATATGGGAGTATATTTAACCCTTCCACTTATACAGAATCTTATAATTTAGAAATAATTTGTAACATATCAACTCACTTGATCTTTGCAATAATTTTATGAGGTAATTGAGATAGGCATTACTCTCCTCATATTAAAGATGTTGAACCAATGATCAGAGAGCTTAAGTGACTTGTACAAGGTCACACAGTGAATTAGAAGTTGACTCAGGATTTGAAACTAGGTCTTCTGATAATAGGGTACTACTGTATCTGCCCAATAACTATAATTGGATCAAAAGGGTCCCTGATAAACCAGTTGAGAATATTGTCCCCTGTGGGCTAGCAAATAACTTTCCAAACCATGGCTAGGGGAGGCTGGTTTTACTCTGACAACAAAAACCATTTGTCCTTGTTTCTTGTGGAAATTTCCCAGCAGTTCTTGATTTCACTTTACCCCTCCTTCTCAATAAATCTCTGTTTCAGTCAGAAACCAGAGGCCTTGCTTAGAAATTTCACAAAGGACCTGTTCTGATATGTAAGTGACCATTTAAAAGGATTACTCATGCTTGTTGGTTGGGAATCAGAATTCTGTGGGGCTCTGACGTGGTGATTTGTTCTGGGTATTTGATCTGTTGTGTAGGTCCCAGGTGGATTCTCATGATGGACACTTTATAAGCTTCTTTCTTCCTAGGTAAAATCAATGCAGCTTCAAAATTTTGACCTTGACAGTGGTTTCCCATATAGCTTATTTTTTTTTAATTAGTAAAATTATAGGAATGTGCCCATAAATGCCAGGCCCTGGAATAATAACAACTGAGGACACAGTTGAGACCCATTAAATGACACACTTGCCTAAACTCCTGGGATTCCAGAATAAGGGGAGGCCTGTACCCTTGAGGCTGATGAATTATTCAGACAAACTTTCATTGTTCACAGATAATTGTGGTTCCCCAAGGGAAGATTTTCAGTGTCTTTAATTTCTACTCTTACAGTGTCACTAAAACAAGGATTCCATTTAGCCCAGAATAATACAGTTTCAGCCTTGAAAATGGCATTCTTTTGGGGCTTTGTCATTCTAAATGTGTCTGATTTGTGGTTGCAGATGAATCTGTGTTGCTGAAACATTCTGGTTCAAATGATTTCAGAAGTAAAACACATTGAAAGTATGTTTGTGGCCTGAGGTCAGAGGTATTAAATAATCCTTTGTGTCATCATCCTTCAACAATATTTATGAAGCACCCATCTGTGCTTGGGGCTGTGCCGAATTCTGTGCAAAACAAGGCAAACACACACAGCCTGAAGCCCTATTCACTAGACATATTTACAGTCTCAAACACGGCTAGCATCCTTGAATACATCCCAAGAAGGCAGATCTAAAAAGTATGTTTTGACTATGAAAAAGGCCATCCAAGGTCCACCACCCATAAACAGGGTGGTGAATGGATTAGTGCTCATCTACCCTCTATTTGCTCTTATGCCACCCCTATGGTTCACCATTTATCCACTCAAGAAATATTTATTAAGGACCTCCTATGTCCTAGACACGGTCCCCGTGGCGGTGCTTTCAGTCTAATGGGGAAGACAAAGAATAACAAGTAAGGGAAACATACAGAAACACAAATTGTAACACAGGCTAGTGGAAATGAACTTGGTGCAGTACTCATTGGTGGGCATCGAGCATCTTGCTTAGATAGGAGATCCAGGGAAGGACTCTTGGAGGAGATTAGGCATAGGACCAAAGATCAGAAACAGGTATCTGGACCTGACTGTGATGCTGGGATTAGAAATGACACCCACACATGTGAAAACACTTATTCCTCAGAAGGTAGTCTACAGCTATTTGTTGCCAATTCCCAATCTAAAATATGTACTATAGCTTTATCTTGAACATACTCAGCTGATCGTTGGAATCCAGACAGTGTTAATCCTCCAAGTATGCAAGTATCTACTGATCTCTGGTGATCTCGATTCTTACCACGTCCTTTAGATCTGTGCTGTTTCATCTCCCAGATCAGTCATGATGGATGACAGTGGTGGAAGAGATAGTGATGTGAGCTCATATGTAATTACTCAGTCTCCCATACATTGCTTCTGCTATAGAATGATGGGAAACATTTCGCTTTAGCAGATAAATATGTTCAAATGTAACCTATATTAACATAAAAGAAAAAAAGAAGAAAGCCCTTCATCCTGTAAGTTATTGCCCTGAAACTCTGTATAGCTGATTCAGTTAGGATCAAGGCAGGAAAGAGATGGCACCCTCAAAAAGGTCTTACTAAAGAGAATTTAGTAATTGTAACTTAATAACCTGGTCTAAGGAACGGATGAGGTTAAGGAAACCAAAAAACACAAGAAGGAATGGGGAGGTACCTTAGCAACAGCAATAGCAGGAAGCTGTTAACACCCCTAGGACTAAGAAGGGTCCAGGGGAGAGGTCAGGGTGACCACAGCCTAGTGAGATCTGGAGTTGTGAAAAGTGGGCGGTCAGACAAGAGCTGAACTTGGCAGGGGGGAGAAATGCCCCAACTTGTCTCTTCTCACCCTCCAACCTCCTGCTGGTGCCTCCTATAACCAAACCGCACTGGAAGCCAGAGGGCAGCCTATGGAGTTCTGCCTCCTGGGGAAGAGAACAGGGCATTTGATGAAGTGGGGATTTTGGGGTAGAAGGGGACAAAAAGCCACCAGCATAAATGGCACAATGGCCCATCTTTTTGCTTATTTCTACTTGCTTATCTCCTAGTCTCATCCTCTTCCCTCTTTTTTGGACTTCAGGCATAGAGAGTCGACTTAATCATACTCATCATTGAACAATCCTTTAATAATTGGTCTGATTGAAGGCTCATTTCTTATTACTTTAAAAATGATAATGCATTTCTTTTCTCTCTGTTTGACTGCCCCACCATAGACAACCACAAAAAATGTGTTTATTGGGTTTTGTGTATATATTTTTTGCATATATTTTTACTTAATATGACTAGTACTATATAAGAGATTGTATTTGATTTCTTACCTTTTTTTCCACTAAAGACCACACTTTAAGATCCTCTTGATGGCTGTACATCCATCTAGGGTGTTGCTTCAAACTGCTGCTTATTTGTCCATGAGTGCATCCATGATATTTTGCCCTTGATTCCCTCAGCAATGAACACTCAGACTGCTTCTCACTTCCTATCACAGTGAATACTGCTGCACAGGCACCCTGTGGATATGTGTGAGAATCTCTTCAACACGTGTATTCAGAAGCAGAATTATTGGGCCAGAGGGGGTGTCTATACTTAATTTAGTCAATTTTAACCAAATACTGTCAGATTGCACTCCAGAATGCCCATCTCTTGCCTGCTTCTCCAACCGGTCTCTAAGTTCCTGCATCTTCAAATCCAGGCCAACACTTCATGTTGTCTAACTTTCTAATTTTTATCCAGTAGACTAGATAGAGAGTAACATACCATTGCAATTTTAATTTTTCATGTCTCACATTACTAATGAGCTTAAGCATCTCTTCATATGCTTGAGAAATTTGGGAGTTTCCTTTTCTATTAATTGCCTATTCCTGTCCTTTGACCATTTTTTTTTTTCTATTTAGGGTTCTTCTTTTTAGTCTGATGAATTTGCAGAAGTTCCTTGGATGATCTAGATACTAGACCCGTTGTCAGTTTTAGGCACTTCTAATTTTCATCTTTTATCTTTAGACAAAATTTTACTCCTGATTTCGATAGCCAAATTGATATCAGTAGACAGATCTGTTATAGACAACTCAAATTTAACATGTATAAATAGCAACTTTTCTAATTTTTCCTGAAAATTGTTTTTCCTGTGTTTAGTCTCTGCATGAGTCACCTATTATCTAAATAATAAACCTTGGAATAATCCCTCATTCCAGATGTACCACTAATCACTGGGTTTTGTTAGAAGGATCCCTTAAATGTTTTTAAATCATTATTTCTTCTCCATTCCTACTTTTCCTTTCCTAATTTACGTTCTCATTATCTTTTGCTTGGACTATTGTAATAGTCAATAAACTGTTCCCACTTCCTCTAGACTTCCTCTTCTTCATTTCCTCTTCTGTACTGTCCCAAGGGCAGTTGTTCTAAAGCAGAAAGTCGTGCATTTTCTTCCCTTGTTTAAAATGGGTTGGTGGGCTTTGAATGCCTGCAGGAGATTCCGTCTCCTGATTATACAACATGCATAATCTCCTGATTATAGAACATGCATAATCTCCTGATTATGAACACTTCACTCCTGCAGACATTCTTATCCTACACTCTAAACATGTCATGCTGCTTACAGTTCCCCAAATTCGATGCCCTCACATTTCTATGCCTTTGCATGCACTTCTGTCCCTGAAATGTATTCCCTTTGCCCCACCTCATTCCACTTTGTTCTTCTTTATCTTTTATGGCTTGAGTCAAGCATCCCCTTCTCAGTAAGTCCTTTGATACCATGTTCCCTCCACCCCAACAGATATTTCAAAAAGTTAACTACTATGAGCTATCAACATGCTTCTTTTGACTTTGGTACAGAGAGACATCTGGTGATACTATCTGTTGATTGCAAAGAAAAATATACCCGACTAATAAGAAGAAAATGAATGGTGCATAATGACCCAATCTCCTTTGGATATAATAAAACTATGCCTGATTTGTGGTCTTCATTTACATTTAGGTGAGTTTGTAATGAGTTGGATTTTTAGTAATGATATGTGGGTACTGACGCTCTTAGCAAATACAGCTTAATCAATGTGAGATGAAAGGAAGCAACTGCATTGTAGTTATTTCCTAGTCGATAATGAAAAACTCCCCACAGCCTGAACTTAAGCGCAAGGTTGTTTATTCCCTGCCCTGGCAAATTGAATGAGGACTGGATTCACTACCAAGGCATTTACAAGATGCATAAGGTGGCCTTCCTTTATGGTTTGTGTGTTGACCTACTGGAAAGGATGCTGAGACTGGTTCAAGTCTGTAATTGTGTGTTTCTAAGAGTTGGTGTCTAATGGGAAAGTGATCTCAGGCCTGTAGTTAGTAAAAAGCATTTATGTATTAACTGGCTAGAGTGAGAGGAATAAATTTTTAACACTTAAGACTATAAACTGTAGGAGATTTGGAGATAGTGGCTAAATCCTCTTGGAAATGCTGGATGCATCATCTTTTATTCAATTTTTCTGAGCCATCTTGGGTTTCTGCTATCTGAGTTAGTCAGAAAAACACTTAGATGAATGTTAAGTAACCCAAGTGCTAAAATATATAGTCGTCATCACTCTCCCATGAGAACTGAAAGACGAACCTTTTTTGGAAGTCAGCTCTCTTTTATCTGCTGTATTTGTGAGGACTCTTTGATACTCAGATTCTGTCTCGGGAAGGGCATTGTCATTATTTAGGGTGTCCAGCAGCCTATTTTCAGCCCTCCCACCGATGTGGCCCTTCTTGGTCTAAACAAGTCACTTTGACCAGTGGTGGATGGATCCAATACTGAAAGAAGCTCCTTAGAATCGCCCTGTCTGATTAGGGATTCAAGGCTACTTTAAACTGGGGTTTCAATGCCATCCAGTCTCAGTGCCACCCAGTCTCGAACATGTGGCGTGCTGTTGTTCTCCAACGGGAACATTAACTTCATGGCCTGCCTTTGTAATCTCAATTTTGGTCTTCCGAGGCTACATTTGGTTAAATAACCTCTCTCTTTTATTCCTTGTGACTTAAAATATTTATTCAATTTAAAAATCAATCCCATTGATTACTGCAAAGAGGCATGAGGTATATATTTTGAGCTGATAAAAATGTTCCATATCTTGATTACAGTGGTAGTTACACAGCTATATATATATATGTGTGTGTGTGTGTGTGTGTGTGTGTGTATATATATATTTGTCAAAGCTCATGAAACTGTACACTTAGAAGTGATGAATTTTGGCTGGGCGCGGTGGCTCACGCCTGTAATCCCAGCACTTTGGGAGGCTGAGGCAGGAGGATCACTTGAGGTCAGGAGTTCAAGACCAGCCTGGCTAACATGACGAAGCCCCTGTCTCTACTAAAATTGCAAAAATTAGCTGGGTGTGGTGGCGCAGGCTTGTAATCCCAGCTACTTGGGAGGCTGAGGCATGAGAATCGCTTAAACCTGGGAGGCAGAGCTTGCAGTGAGCTGAGATCCTGCCACTGCACTCCAGCCTGGGCGACAGGGTGAGACTCCTTCTCAAAAAAAAAAAAAAAAAAAAAAAAGAAGTAATGAATTTTATTTTATATAAACTATACCTTGATAAAGGTGATAAAAATAATCAAACTCTATTTATTTAAAAATAAAACAAAGCTTCTCTCTTGGAACTTCTTTTCTGACTAGGGGCAAGAATCATTGCTCTCTTTGAATGACTCTAGTTCCCAGCATAGAGGTTTGTATTTACTAGACCACCAATAAACATTGGTTAGGTTCAGGTGAGTTGAATTGTCTCTGGAATCACTGTTTACTGCTTTCCTTTTTGTTTGAACCAGGACATAAATATATGGCCTGCAATCTTGTCTTTGGAAAAGACATAACTTACACAGTTGGAGGTTCTCAGATATCAGTCATTAGTCAAATTTATTGGTGATATAAAAGATATAAGGAAGGTAGTTTAGCCCGGCCTAACTCTCAATCATATGCTTTGTCAAGCCACCAGAGAAGTTTGGTGCTTGACAACGTTTTAAAATGAAGGAGGATAATGTTAAGTCATCTTAGGCCTGAAGGTACTTCTGGAGTGAAAGAGCATTGCAGTTCTTGTGTGTGCTTTATATTTCAAAATGTATTTTGTAGCTCTCCCCACCAAAAAAGTTTTAAAATGGATTTCAGCTTCAACTTTCTAGGGTAGTGTTGAGCTGGGTCTATTGAAATACTGCTTAAATGCTTGCTAAATATCACTGATTTCACTTTACCTGTCATGCTGAGGGAAAGATAGTATCTAAGATAGATGTGCAGGGTGAATCAAGATGCTGCCTGAAAGTTTTGTGTGCTCAGGAAAGCATTTTTATTTACAAGTGAACTCTATTACAGCAGAGATCCCCAACCCCAGGCCACATAGCAGGTGAGTGAGCATTACTGCATGAGTGCCACCTCCTGTCAGATCGGTGGCAGGATTAGATTCTCATAGGAGAGCAAATCCTACTGTGAACTGTGCATGTGAGGAGTCTAGGTTGCATGCTCCTTATGAGAATCTAATGCCTGATGATCTGTCACTGTCTCCCATCATCTCCAGATGGGAACCATCTAGTTTCAGGAAAACAAGCTCAGGGCTCCCACTGATTCTACATTATGGTGTGTTGTATAATTATTTCAGTATATATTACAACATAATAATAATAGAAATAAAGTGCACAATAAATGGAATGTTCTCGAATCATCCCCAAATCATCCCCCTCCCCGAGTCTGTGGAAAAATTGTCTTCCATGAAACCGGTCCATGGTGCCAAAAAGGTTGGGGACCACTATGTTATATAGTATGTTGTTTGATTGTCATACAAACCTTCAGAAGTATTTGAGGCAGGCACTATTATTGACATTGTATTTACAGAAAAATATGATGATGAGACGTTAAGTAATTGCCCAAGGTCACACAGAATAAATTAGTCAATATTGGTACCAGATAATCTGGCTCAAGCCTCATAATCTCTTCACTATTCCTTATTTGTGAGGGCAGCAAAAGTTCTGATTATACTCCGAGTGAAAGTCATTCGTGTGGGTTGGTGTGGGGGTAGGGGTGGGGGTAGGGAGAGAGACCTGTATTACCCCCAAGGTGGTAGATAACATCAGATAAGCAGAATTAATTTCAACCCAATACGTCTGTAACTTTGACGTTGAATATCACTACTGTTTAGTAAAACTCTGGAAGAAGCAGTCCTGGCTTTAACTTAAGACTTCCAGGAAAATGTTGACCGTAGTTCAAGGTAAGGTTGGAAATTTACATCTTTGCCTCAGGATCTGCTTGAAGATCATCAGCAGCAGCTGCATTAAAAAGTATTTATTAGGCTTCAGCAGCTTTTCTCCCTTATATTCTGGGTAAAGTGGGTTAAGCAGGTATGATTCCTTCTAGAGGTTGTTTTGTTTTGTTTTGTTTTGGAGATGAAGTCTTGCTGTGTTGCCCAGGCTGGAGTGCAGTGGTGCAGTCTCGGCTCACTGCAACCTCTACCTCCTAGGTTCAAGCAATTCTCATGCCTCAGCCTCCTGAGTAGCTGGGATTACAGGCATGTGACAAAATGCCTGGCTAATTTTTTTGTATTTTTACTAGAGACAGGGTTTTGCCATGTTGGCCAGGCTGGTTTTTAACTCCTGGCCTCAAGTGATCCACCCACCTTGGCCTCCCAAAGTGCTGGGATTAGAGGTGTGAGCTACTGCACCCAGCCTAAGTTTTAAATCTGAGATAGACAACACTGATGACCAGAAACATAAAAGATATCGATTAAGTACAATGAGATCCTCTAGTAAATAATGTGTTAGCAGTTGGATATGAGATGCCCGAGCCTAGGAAAAAATGAAAACAAATCTTGTCAGCCCTATCTATATGCCCTACACAGGTGAGGGCGGAATCCAGACCTGGGAATCCAGTCATCTCATCTCTGATCAAGTTGCTGCCTGACGGTTAAATTTGTCATTTGGAGTTCCAAGTTCTTTTAGAGTCCCTGATGGCATTGGTGGTTTATATTCTGGCATGAGGGAAAACTCCTTGTAAGTTGATGCCTGTATTTAAGAATGCAAGATCCACCAGGACTCACAGAGAGATCATATCACTTGGGATCTTTGTGCAGCAAATTAGAGAAAACTAGCTGAAATGGGGCCTAAATAGCAAAAGGAATGTGTTGGCCCACGTAACTGAAGTAGATTGGCCTCAGGTGAACCGTGATCCAGCAGCTCACATGATACTACCATTTGACCTGGTATTCCCTCTTGTCTGCTTTGCCTTAGATGGTATCACTCTTATCCCTAGGCTCTGAGCCTCTGACTGTCTGGTCCAGATAGCAAGTGTCTGCAGGATTTCTAGACCCCATGCTCTTACACCAGCTTGTCTATGAAGATGGAAGACAAAGCTTTTCTTTCCAAGAAAAAACTGAAAACATCAACTCAAGTCTTGACTTTGGTTGGGGTTTGTACTTTATCTGACTCATTGATTCTCTGGGGCTATAGACGATGGGATAGACTGACAGTCTTAAGCCTCCTTCCCCTCATTAGGTAGAGCTAGGAGGAGGGTCATTCCTTCCCAAACTAAGTGACTAAGAATGGATACGTTTGTCCTCCAAAGCAAGATCTTTCTTTTTTCCTTCCAGAAAGAGTAACTGCAGTAATTAGGACCCAATTGATGGCAAAGGGATATGATCTAGGTGAGTCCATTGGGGTGCAGTTCTGGAGGGGGAATTCAGGACCTTCTTCTTACCTCCTCCTACCCCTGCAAATAGTCTGAGACTCACTAATAACTGACAGTGGTATTCAAATTGGAACAGTGGTTCTTGCCTCTGACCTTTGCATATGCTCAAGTAGTCATCTGTCCTTCTTTCTCATCCTCTCCTCTTTATTCCTTTCTTCCTTCTTCCCCTTTCCCTCCATCTCTATTCCTCCCTCCTTCCCTTCGCTTCTCCTTCCCTTCTCCCTCCTTCCTTCCTTCTTTTCTTATCTTCCCTTCCTCCCCACCTTGCCTACCTCTCACATTTCCATTTTCCAAAAAACCTTTTTTAGCCCCTTTTGTGTGCCAAGCACACTGCATGGTACTGGATATTCCTGATGGAGCTCATCTTCCCTTCCATGTTCCCTTTTCCTTTAGCAAACTTCACTGCCAACAAAATGTGTTAATATTCTCTGTGTAAGGTGTTCTGCTAGATTCAGGGAGGTCCGTGGCTTCAGCGTGAATCTGAAGGATAGAGCTGGGGAGTGTTTTTAAATCATGATGACATTGTTCATAAAGATTGTGTCACACAGATTCTACTACCTATATTTTGGGGTGGGAGGGAGAGACAGGGAATGTAGTTTAAGAAAAGCAAGCATTTATGTCTGCCAGTGTTCTCAAATGAGCTCATGTATGAAGTGGGACATGGAACTCGCTGACCTTTATTGGCCTCTGCATTCAGACTACCTGGGGTTGAATTCTAACTCCTCTGCCTTCTGACTTTATGAGCTTGGGCTGTTTACCTAACTTCTCAGGGTGTCTTAGTCTATTTTTGGTTTCTTATAACAGAATACCTGAAACTTGGTAATTTATGAAGAAAAGGAATTCATTTCTTACAGTTATGGAGGCTGAGAAGTCCAAGGTCCAGGGGCATAACAGGTGAGAGCCTTCTTACTGTCGAGGACTCTGCAGAGTCCCAAGGTAGTACAGGGGGTGAGGGGGCTGAGCATGCTAGCTCAGGTCTCTCTTCCTCCTCTTATAAAGCCACCAGACCCACTCCCATGGTAACTCATTAATCCACTAATCCATGAATGAGTTAATCCATTCATGAGGTCAGAGTCCTCATGACCAAATCCCTTCTTAAAGCCCCCACCTCTCGATACTGCCACACTAGGGATGAAGTTTCAACAGAAATTTTGAAGGGGATAAACATTCAAACCATAGCATGGGGTCTCGTACTGAGGATTAAATTAGGTTATATATATATATATATATATATATATATATATATATATATATATATATATATATAGTGCTTAGAGCAGTGCCAGTCCACAGTATGCGTTCAATGAAGTTAGCTATTATTGTCATGGCGATGGGGCTTTATGGATAAGAGAGTGAAGCATAGGCAGTGGATTCTCATGAGTAGTCTCCCGTGCTTCCACATTAAGGACTAAATGTTGGCCAGTGGCTGTGCTCAGGCCCCGTCTTCCACATGTGGATGCTAGTGAGGCAGGGGTGCTTTCTTGCTGTGTATATTCACATTTCAGAGTCCCTCAGAGCTTCCAGAGGACTCTGCTGTGTGAACCTCACATATCTCTATTTTATAGTTTTTCAGATTACTTTGTAAATAATTATTGTTAATTTTCTTTAGCTTTTTAAAAATATGTATTAATATATTGAGCCTTTCAGTTATGACCTAGGAATAGACCTACGTTTTTTTGGGGTGGGGAAGGGGTCTGTCTGTTGCCTAGGCTGGAGGGCAGTGGCACAATCACAGCTCACTACAATGAACTTCCAGGCTCAAGTGATCCTCCCATCTCAGCCTCCCAAGTAGCTGGGAACACAGACATGCACCACCCTACCTGGCTAATTTTTTATTTTTATTTTTTGTAGAGACAAGGTCTCACTATGCTGCCTAGGCTGGTCTCAAACTCCTGGACTCAAGCAATCCTCCTGCCTCAGCCTCTCAAAGTGCTGGGATTATAGGCGTGAGCCACCATGCCCAGCCCCTATTGCCTTTTGATCCGTACTTTTTGATTAATATCCTCTAAAACACATGAAAATTCATTGTTCCCTCTGTTAGGTGCTTCCATAGAACACATATAGGACCCTAGAAGTCCCATCTCTTTAGAAAAATTATCTTTCTGGGAAAATACAGAGTTTCTTTTATAACACATCTGTGTCTCTGTATGCTGGCCAAAAGCCTCAAACCCCCGAACAGACCTGAAATGTTTATCCCTACCACTACTTCTGATAATAGGGGTTTGACTTTGTATTGCCCACACATCCCATTAAAACATATAATGTGATTTGTGCGCATATTGTGAGCATTTGTTCATTTTATAACCTGTTTAGTAGTTCAGCCAAAAGCAACAAAAGTGAAATAAGAGAAACATCCTGAGCAAAAAGAATTGCTCTTTGATATACCTGTGCACTGGCATGAGAGGACAGAGGAGAGATTTGTGAAAGTGGACTCCTTTGTTACTAATATAACATCGGCTACTTTCTTTAACAATTAACATCTCAACCCCAATTTATCGTTATTGTGGCTGTTTTTTTGCTTTCATAATGACTTCAGAAAAATTCATAACATCATCTGGAGTCCCTTTATCTGCAAAGCGATTAGTCAATTTCACTGGTACTCTAGGGAGAGACTTGGGAAGTGAAAGGTGGACATTTCCCACCAGATGGGGTTTCTTTACATGACTCTTATCAAATCAGGTGGGTGTTAGGAGCCTGAGAAATGTGAGCGTGAAGAAATGTGAAATGTGAGATTTGGATAAGGTCGTTTGGATTTAAAGAGGAAATTTCCATCAAGGGCCAACTCCTAGAGGAGATCACAGAGCAGAGGCTGGGGTGTGGCTGCAGGTAGCCATGCCATTGAGCCAAGGTGGGCTGACTCGAGGAAGAGCTCAAGCAGATGCTTTAAAACAAAGCATAAATGTCTTCTTTTGAGAAGTGTCTGTTCATGTCCTTCACCCACTTTTGGATGGGGTTGTTTGTTTTTTTCTTGTAAATTTGTTTGAGTTCATTGTAGATTCTGGATATTAGCCCTTTGTCAGATGAGTAGGTTGCGAAAATTGTCTCCCATTTTGTAGGTTGCCTGTTCACTCTCATGGTAGTTTCTTTTGCTGTGCAGAAGCTCTTTAGTTTAATTAGATCCCATTTGTCAATTTTGGCTTTGGTTGCCATTGCTTTTGGTGTTTTAGACATGAAGTCCTTGCCCATGCCTATGTCCTGAATGGTAATGCCTAGGTTTTCTTCTAGGGTTTTTATGGTTTTAGGTCGAACGTTTAAGTCTTTAATCCATCTTGAATTGATTTTTGTATAAGGTATAAGGAAGGGATCCAGTTTCAGCTTTCTACATATGGCTAGCCAGTTTTCCCAGCACCATTTATTAAATAGGGAATCCTTTCCCCGTTGCTTTTCTCAGGTTTGTCAAAGATCAGATAGTTGTAGATATGCGGCGTTATTTCTGAGGGCTCTGTTCTGTTCCATTGATCTATATCTCTGTTTTGGTACCAGTACCATGCTGTTTTGGTTACTGTAGCCTTGTAGTATAGTTTGAAGTCAGGTAGTGTGATGCCTCCAGCTTTGTTCTTTTGGCTTAGGATTGACTTGGCGATGCAGGCTCTTTTTTGGTTCCATATGAACTTTAAAATAGACATTTTATGCAGCCAAAAAACACATGAAAAAATGCTCATCATCACTGGCCATCAGAGAAATGCAAATCAAAACCACAATGAGATACCATCTCACACCAGTTAGAATGGCAATCATTAAAAAGTCAGGAAACAACAGGTGCTGGAGAGGATGTGGAGAAATAGGAACACTTTTACACTGTTGGTGGGACTGTAAACTAGTTCAACCATTGTGGAAGTCAGTGTGGCGATTCCTCAGGGATCTAGAACTAGAAATACCATTTGACCCAGCCATCCCATTACTGGGTATATACCCAAAGGACTATAAATCATGCTGCTATAAAGACACATGCACACGTATGTTTATTGCGGCATTATTCACGATAGCAAAGACTTGGAACCAACCCAAATGTCCAACAATGATAGACTGGATTAAGAAAATGTGGCACATATACACCATGGAATACTATGCAGCCATAAAAAAGGTTGAGTTCATGTCCTTTGTAGGGACATGGATGAAATTGGAAATCATCATTCTCAGTAAACTATCACAAGAACAAACAACCAAACATCGCATATTCTCACTCATAGGTGGGAATTGAACAATGAGATCACATGGACACAGGAAGGGGAATATCACACTCTGGGGACTGTTGTGGGGTGGGGGGAGGGGGGAGGGATAGCATTGGGAGATACACCTAATGCTAGATGACGAGTTAGTGGGTGCAGCGCACCAGCATGGCACATGTATACATATGTAACTAACCTGCACAATGTGCACATGTGCCCTAAAACTTAAAGTATAATAAAAAAAAAAAGAACAAAGCAAAAAAATGTGAGTGTGTGACTGAAGTGGTACATCTGACTTTGCCACTGATTCTCATCACTTCTCAGGGCCTCGCTTTCCCCATCTAGAAGGGCTGGGATAGTGGCTGTTCTGCAAAGAGCCCCCAGGGGCCACATTGCGTCTAGCTCATAGCTCTGCCTCCCTAGTAGGATGCAGCCCTTGTCCTCAGGGTTCCAGGCAGTGGGAGCTCCGGCCACCATGCCCATATTTAGGCAGCAACTAGAGAGAGGATGAAGAGGAAGGGCAAAGGACTACACTATCTTTTAAGGAGATTCATGGAAGTGGATAGTTGACACTTTTGCATATATCCTATCGGCCAGGACTTAGTGATGTGGCCACACATAGCTCCAAGGGAAGTTGAGAAATGGAGTCTTCATTCTGAATGGCCATGAGCATAGCTAAAAATGAGGGGTTGTCTTATTAAGATAGAAGGGGATGAGAGTTATAGAGGGACAACTAGCTGTCTGTACTGTGGGTTTAGATGATGTCCTAAACATTCAGTGTAGAATATTGCAGTCTTCGAAGATGTAAAATATCTTTAATATTTGATTGCTAATTTTTTTCTTTAGACTAAAGAATTTAGGATGCTGACATAAACTATGATGATGATATTTTTGATGATGGTGATGAGGATGATGATGATGAGGAGGAGGAGGAGGAGGAGGAGAGGAGGAATATCTACCAGAGAAAATAGTCCAGGGTGTTATATATGACAATTTACAACCCGATGAGAAAAGTATTTTTCCCATTTTACAAATAAGTAAATTGATGCTCAGAGTGGGCAAACCTCTGAGGCCAAACCAGGTCTTACGAATGGAGTCATGATATAGCCACAAAGATTGGGAACAAGGTTTTTGGGAAGCAATGTGGCTCTCTGTTGCAAGTAAAAAAACTGAATTCCAAATGACATAAACAACAAGGAAAAAGTTACATCTCGTATTAAAATGTCTAGAAAGGGCAGCAGCAGAGGTGGGTAATTTATTGCCTCAGCAATGTCTTCAAGGAACCAGGTTCTATCATTCTCAGGATGTGGTCTTTGACCTTGATGATATTTCCTCATGGAAAGGCCCCAGCAGTGCGAGCTATTACCCTCACATACGATGTGGTCTTATGGCAGAAAAGAGACTGCCTACTGTTTATGTGTCTTTTTAAAGTCGGGGAAACTTTTCCAGAAGTCCTCCTGTGCCATATTTGTCCTATTTTGTGTAAATTCACCTTTGCTGAGGACTAGGTACCTGAATAAAGTCATGATTCTCTTAATATGAAAAGCAGTGGGAATGATTTTGGGTGGGAAACTGTCAACACCTCTAATTCATTCATAGGTTATTTGCCCATTAGCTGGGTGTGCCTGTAGTCCCAACTACCCCAGAGGCTAAGGCTGGAGGATTGCTTGAGCCCAGGAGTTCAAGACCACCCTGGGCAACACAGAGACATACAGAGACCCTATCTCTTTAAAAAGTATATATAAATATATATATACACACATATATGTAGTGTGTGTATGTATTAAATATATAATATGTGTGTGTGTATATGTGTGTGTCTATATATATATATATATATATATATATATATATATATATATATGATTTTCCCAATATTTAAGGACAATCTAGAATTCTAGAATTATGGATATTTCCCTGAAAATGTCATTACTTTTGGATGTCACTTGCTTATTATAACTTACTCACTTGCTTATCAATAAACATTTATGGAAAACCTTCTCTGGGTCAGATAGTGTATGAATAATGAAATTCATGCTTACTGTCAAAAAACATTTTATGATTTAGTGACAGAGTCAGATATCCTCAGCAACATTTACAAAACAATGCATGGAATGCCACAATAGAGGCAATGAGGATGCTTAGAGGAAACCACTTATGTTGGCCTGGGGAATCGGAACTTGTGGCTGTAATAAAGCTTTCTTCTCTTAGATTATGAATGTTGCTCATGGGGAGCACTTAAATGAGCTCCCTGAGAACAGGGACCACAACTTCTTTGTTTTTATTTTTTAGTCTGAGTGTAGTGCTTTGACTATAGTAGTTGATCAATGTGGTGAGCAGAAAAGGTAGCTTCCCTACATTACAGCTAGTAGTGGTGTTTGCTGGACTTCAGCAGGTCTTTGTAAATTCAAAGCCCAGGCTCTCTAACACCATACATAGCACTTTGTTACTCACAATGAATGGTTTGCTACAGAATGCTTTCTCTTTTCTAATCTGCTTCTTGTCTGATTGTCATGCAAACTTGAATGGGATAATAAATGTAAAGTAATTAGCATAGAAGAAGCACTCAGTGACTATTACCTGCTATTATTACTTTATAATGTAGTCTGCATTATTTTTTTCCTTTATTTAAATCTTCAACTTTGCTGAATTGCTTATTGAAGAAAATGCTGTCTCTAAACATAACATTACTGGCAGCTGGAAGTGAAACTTACACATTATGCTTCATGGTATCTGAGAGTCATGAAGTTTACAAAGACATTTCTGGTCTTATTCTGATAAATATCACATGCTAGTATTTCCTACATTCCCATTTACTCAGTGTTCCCTACTTCCTAAAGGAGGGAAAAGCGCCGTCGAACAGTTGTCAAATTTTCTTCACAAACAGCTTGGTTTTCCTTAATGGATGAAATCACCCTTCGTTGATGGATCCATTTGCACAGGAATTTCTAGATCATCTCAGGGCTCACACTCTGGGTCCCACCTCCTGCTCTGCTACAAACGGTTAGGTATCTTTATGCATCAGTATCCAGCTGGCCATAGCGGCCCTGTGTCAGAAATTATATTTCCTCTAATTGGCTAAAGGGACCATTTTCTTAATAGTTTCTTTCTTTTATAGGGCCATGTGCTATATTCCATTTATATACACATTCTGGAACACAGTATTCCAGAGCATGTTAATTGTTCAGAGATAATGGACCTAACAAATAGAATGGTGCGGTTAAGGAGAAATCCAGTTGCATGGAGGTCCTTGGTCTTTTGTGTGGCTTGAAGAGGTTGAGGATGCTGATGTGTTCTTTGGGAAGAGATTCACAGTTGACAGGAAACATCTGCTTTAATTTGCTCCAACATCAACAAGATCGATGTGGTAGGAAACCTGTTGTTACTGTGTGAGTTCCATTTATCAAGGCAGGGCTTGGCCTGAAATCAGGGCTATTTGGACAGGTACCACAATGGGTCAAAATATGGACATAACAAAGCAGCATTACTTGAGAGTATCGTGTGGCTGTTTCTCTATTTAAAGGGAGTCATGTTCCTTCTATACCTGTCTGGCTATCTTCATTTCTTTCTATGTCTTTCTCGTTATGTTTTTCTTTTTCAGCACATTTCCATTCAGGGCCTCAATTACGAGTGTAACAGTTCTCACCCTAAATTCTGCCTCCATATCCTCTCTCCTGGGTAAGAAAGGCTCCCAGTGATGGCGACTCTCAATGGAGGGGGATTCTCCCCAAGGGTTTCCCAAATATTTTCAGAAACAGCTATGCAAACACACAGACTCACACACGCTAGTACTCACCAAACCTTGGAGATTATCCACTACCCCTAAGGTATACCTGCCTCTTCTGGCTAACCTTCAGAATCGCTTACCTAGAATTAATTAAAGATGCTCTTACTTTCAGGAAAACTGCCTTGGTTTTCATTATTTGGAAAAGTAAAGTTTGTATCTGACGCTTAAAATATGCCTCTGGAGAACTCAAAGAATTCAAAGCATTCTTATATCAGTGCATCTGTGATACTAATCTTTTAGAAAATTATTACACTGCTAATAAAATGTGCAGTGTGGATTCATGCCACTGAGCTTAGGTTATTGCCTCCACTATTTTTGAAATGCTAGTGCCCATGATGTCCTGATGCAGGAACTCATCTCTTAACAAAACAACACAGCCATATACAGAAAAAATAAGGTCCTTTTTCACCCATTCTGGTGTAGGGTAGCTCAATCAATTAAAAGAAATTGCAAAGGCTATATGCTATGGTTTGGGTGTTTGTCCTCTCCAAACCTCATGTTGAAATATGATTCCCAGTATTGAAGGTGGGGCCTAATGGGAGGTGTTTGGATCATGAGGACACATCCCTCTTGAATAAATTAATTCTGTCTCTTGGAGGTGAGTTCTTACTCAGTTCCCATGAGAGCTGGTTGTCACAAAGAGCTGGTATCTCCCCATCTTCTTGCTTCCTCTCTCTCCATGTGATCTCTGCACATGCCAGCTCTCCTTCACCTTCTACCATGAGTGGACACAGCCTGAGGGCCTCACCAGAAGCTGAATAGATGCTGGCACCAGGCTTCCCGTATAGCCCGCAGAACCATGAGCTAAACAGACCTCTTTTCTTAATAAATTACCCAGCCTCAGGTATTCCTTTATAGCCACACAAAATGGACTAAGACACCCTATCACTGGAGTCCACTCAGACTACCAGGTGAGATAAATCCAGGAGCTTCCAGGTTCTTTGTTCTTGATTCTGGCAATGGGTCCAAATAAAAGACAATGAAAGGATATGCTATTGGCTACTTTGTCATTTCATCTTCCTGCTTCCTACCTAATGACCTGAATGCACATGTGCTCCCGCTGTCAGTCTCCCCACTGTGAACAACTCTCCTTTCTCTTTACGAACCTCCTCTGCCCTGGGCAGGCTGGTGACCACACTGCTCTGGGCCAGATACTGTGCCCAGTACAGAGAGGAGGTGCACGAGGAAATGATAAGGCACATCTCTGCTTTGGAGAATCTCATTGCCCAAGAAGACATATAGACAAGTAAACCAGTTACAGAAATAATGGTTAAGGTACACTGGTGGTACGAAGAAGGGACGAATCAGTTTTGCTTAAGATTGGAGGATGCTGGGCAAAAAAGGCTTCAGAGAAGAGGAGGTATTTGGAGAGTGCATTGAAGGTTGAATAGAAGGTTTAGAGAATCAGAATTTGCCTAGTGTACAGAAAGAAAAATTGAAAGGCAGTGGACGGCCATCAGTAGAAGGGTGTGAGGCACAAGTTATTGAGGTACATGAAGAGACTGACAGTCATGATCATTATGAAGCATTAGTTGAAGGGTCACAGAGGTACGCATAAGTATACCAGTGGTAATGCTGCTGGAAGAGTAGCCAGGGGACTGGAGAAAAGAAGGCACCATGTTATGTGCTGGGACCTCATTCATTCTTCATGTCATAAGGAGCCAATTCTTCTCTGGACTTTTCCACATTCCATGCAAAGTCTGTCTGGCTTCCTGTCCATTTACTTTCTGGTCATTCAAGGCCTACCACTGTCCGGTGTCCAGTTGCTCCTCACATGCAGATGGAAAACCTGGGCCAGGTCAAAGTCTGAAGACCTAGAGAACTGGGCAGAGCTCTGGGCAGTGTGGGATCTGCCCACACCTCTCAGAGAGAGGAACTGAGGTGATTGTTCTGAGAGGCAGTGAGCAGGGAGACCCCGAAGCCAAAGGCTGGCAGGATCCAGCAGGGCAGAGGCCAGCAGGGGAATTCAGGGAAGAGCCTCAGGGCTGACAATGGGGACACCTGACTACAGTCAAGGGGATTCAAAGCACAGCCTGGAACCTGGAGGAATCCCCTGGAACATGGACACAGAAATGCGGACAGCTGAAGCCATGAACGTGACCACAGGTAGGGAGCTTGCAGTTAGGGACAGGAGCCAACTTTACTTAGACATAACTCAAATTCATTTCATTTCTGAAGGAAATGAAATTTCCTTCTTTTTCACCTGGTTGGAATTTATTGCTCTCTCCTTAATGGTGCATAGCACCTTGTTTATTTATGCTTTGAGTAATTGTAATATGCCTTGTTTTATAGTATTTTTATACATTTCTACTTCAACTCTTGATTATAAATTTGTTAAGGCAGGGAATATCTATCTATCTATCTATCTATCTATCTATCTATCTATCTATCTATCTATCTGTCTATCTTATCTATCTATCATCTACACACACTAATGGTATTTTAGCTATAGCATACATAAATACATAGGTACATTTTGTTGAATTGAAATTAAGTGAATTAATCCCATCCTCTTTCAGAATAGAAATTATGTTTTCTGGGAGCTAGAAACTATTGTGAGAGATGTTAGTATTGTTGAAATTTAAAAGGGGCTGTCCAGTTCAGTTGTGGCCTGGTGTGTACTGAATGACATCCAAATTCTAAGTAAGTGGAATTGCTATCAGATCTGAAATAAATTAGCCATGCTCGTGAGAAGATGTAGAGTGAGGAATTCCTTCCACAAATGCTCTGCTTATCTGATTATTGGTTAGCCAGTGATTTCCTGTCATCCACAAAAAAAGATGAAATAGTAAGAGAAAAGTAAATACTAGGTGAAGTGCTTTGAGCCAAAGGGAGTCCATATAAGAAGTGATGGATGGCTCTGTTGGGATCCCAGCAGTAGTGCATGATGATGTTGTTGTATAAATACGTCAGCTCCTTTAACCCTCGGGGGACCCTGAAGCATGTGTTTTTCACGGGCCCCTAGCGTGCTCATGCGGGATTAAGTTTCAGTTGCCTACTGTGGTAATTGGCTTGAGAAGCCTATCTTTATTAATTTTCTCCTCTTCCTTGTCTTATTTCTCTTCTCCCCTACCTGTGTTCTCTTCATTCCCTTCCTCCCTACAAAATAAACTCTGTGAGTTTGAATTCTTGTTTCAGGATTCAAGTTTGCTCCTGGGGAACCAAATTAAGACTAAAGAATATGTATTCTCTTTCTTCTCATTTGGCGTTGAGACATTTTAAAGCCTCAACAATTTTCCCTATATAAGCAGTTCCAATTATTTGTGCCTGACTTATAAAAAGTAGGTAATGAGAAAATTAAGGCTTGCAGACAAATCTTACACAATTGCAGCAGAATATCTCAGAAATGTGCCCAATTCTGAGATAGAAAGAAAAGAAAAAAAATCCCACATCTTTATTATGGTTTCCCAATGCCTCTTCAAAGCGCATTAAGTAGGTGTAATCCTCGCCCCTCCCATACGATAGTGGGCAGACCCCATGACTTTTACTAGCCAAGATAATAATCAAAACTCCACCTTATCTTTAATGGCAAACCTTCCTCCAGTTGGAGTGTGCTTTGGGCTGTCCACCTGTGGTGGGAAAGAGAGGAAAGGAGGTATGGTCGGTGTCTTCTCTCCACTTTGTGCCATTTCTCTTTTCTTCTCCCATCTCAGCTGGCCCACCATTTCTGACCTCTTGCTGTTGGAGGAATGGTAAGGAACAAGAAAGCTCTTACAGAATGGACACTGATGTAATCTGGTTTTGCACATTCTATGCCTGGTGGTTGTTCAAAACTGACGCTTTTCCTGGGGCTTGCTTGGGTCCTTTGGAAGACGGTTTTCCAGAAGACTTCTCTCCTACAGGTCATTGTACCTGGTTCATGCATCTCTAGTTGCATGCATTCTTGGTGTTTACTTGTGACGCATTTGTAGCCCCCGTCTAGCTTCCTGCTGGTAGGGCGCTCCGCTCTCTAAGTGATTGTACTGGACAGAACCCCAAATGACCCTTGGCTGGATCTCTCCCACATGGCACACATCTGCTCTACTGAAAATGCTCATGACTTTCCTGGCCCGAGAAGCCTTGCTGATTCCAATACCACCTTACCCTGGTGCCCCAGGCTACTTTAACATCATTGGGCCAAAGTCAGGCAGCATCCTCTGGGTCTCCCAGCTCCATTTAAGTTCATGAAAATGGTCATTTAAGCTTTCTGAAAGGTGTCTTAAGAAGCCTTGTTAGAAGTAGCAGCCCTTCCTCATTTTTCTTCCCTATAAGCAGAAGTGGGAATTCTCCTTGATAAAATCCTCCCCCCAAAAATATCTTCAAAAATCTTGTGGAATCCAATAGTCATGGAAATGGTTCTCAGAATTTTCATGATAAGGTCTGCATATGGTGAGCTGGTTTTGGAATACCCCTTTTGTTGTATTCGATTATCCCAGGGAAACTTTTTTTTCCAACATCCTGTTACTATAGTTTCAGATATCCTGCCATTAGGCCATATTTGGGGTCATAATTCAGGGCACTTTCACCTGTATGGGGGGCCTCTTGGAGAGAGGAGCATATTATTGAAAACAGTAAGCAGTTAATGCTTTATTTTGCTTTATCATTTTATTGGTAAAATTTATTTCAATGCAAAACATATACAGAGACAAGTACACGGTGGTAAATGTATAGCTCAATAAATCTAATGAAATAAACACACCAATGTAACAGATCAAGAAAGAGGACATTACTAGCTTCCAGATGCCCTATCATGTGGCTTCCCAGTTTAGTTCCCTCAAGGATAATGAATATTCTGACTATTAATGTCATAGATCAGTTTTATCTTCTTTTGAAGTTTATGTAAGTGGAATCTTTTCTGTCTGGTCAATATCATGTTTCCGAGATTCATCTATATTGTTGCCTTTAGTTGGAGACTGTTCATTCTCATTACTGGATGGCCATCCTGTGAATATACTTGGGCAGTTAATATTTGATCAATTAATTTCTTCCCTCAAGGGTAGCTCAAAAGTTGACCATGGCCTCCCTACACCGTCCCTGATTTCAATCTGAATCCACAGGAAGAGTCTCACCTTACTCTAATGACTTGCATTGAATATCAGAACACAGAAGTAGGATTTTTTCCAATTTTTAAACAATGTGCAGAGGTAGGCTTTTTCAGGGTAGCAGTTTATTATTTATTTCCATACTTTGTGTTTTATCCCATCAATCTGCTCTTTCAATTTGGCTTAGAGTTATAGAATGTTCGAGCTGGAGAAACCACATTTTCTGAGAAACATTTTATATAAATTCTGATAACAGTTGTATGAACTTCTATTTCTTCAAGAATCATGATAAGTTTTATCACATAGGTCCCAAGAAAAATCTAGGTACAGTAACAACTGGAGATCAGGAATATTTTTCTAAATATTTCTTGCATTGTACTTTTATAATGAGTCTTTTTTCAATTAAAGTGAAAAGCATCAAAGCATGATAGATTTTTTTACCTGAGAAAATGGTCTTTTCATTTATATTTGAATAAAAATTCAAATTTAAAACTTCACCATAAAAGTCAGTAATGTTGACAACTTGTCAGCACCTACTTCATAGATTGATACCCACACTATAATTTAGAATGTGGAAGTTAAAATAGTATCTACACCCTGAATAATAAATAACATGCACTAAAGACTTTTCTTTTATGGAACTCTATTAGTGTCCTTCCTAAAAATAAAATGAAATGAACTTTCCTAAAGTGTTGTAATATTAGTACTATCTAAGTCATCATCCTGGCCTTATGAAATATTGGCATTTTCTACTGGTGTAACTTTTATTAGAAGCATCTCATCATAACTAGTAGGATCATCTCAAAGGGGTTGCAACACATTAGCAGGTAATGAAATCAACGTAGTGTTTCCTGAACGGTATCGGGTGGGTGGGGGGGAAAAAGAATACACACACACACACAGAGGAAGGGGTAAAAGAGAATAAGAAATATCAAGATGCATAACACACGGATAAGTAAGTATTGTTAAGTACAACTCTTGCTTCAGTTATACATATGTGTGTGCTGGGCTGCAATGTAAAAATGCATTTCTCAATGGATTGGGTCAAAATAGTTTTCAAGTCACTGACTTAAGATTTTATCCTAGGGGATGAGGAAATTAGTCTAAGTGATTACCTCTTTCTGGTGGGATGTTTGTTTAATCTGTCATCTTAAAACACTGCTGAGTTCCTATTTTCAGTTCATTTTTGTATACTACCAAAGCTGCTACTCAAAGGCTGAGCTTCTATTTGCTTGTTCTGCATGGTGCCCACTGGTCCTTACTGTTTTTGATATAGTTATCTACTTTTTAAAGACAGTTTAGCACTCACATATTTTTGTTCAATCTTTACTTCTCACACAAACAGAAAAAGGAAATTATATATTCTGTATCAACAAAGATTTAACAAAACATCCATACACTACAACTGTCTACTTACTAAAATTAAGAATTAGTATATTATCTTTTTTCTTCTTATATTAAAACTATCTTTTCATACACTATTTTAAGTTTATGAACTGAAAGTCTTTTAGAGATAATTTACTTCAATGAACTATTATTATTTATATTTTATAAGCAAATTGTCACAACTTGGTATTAGCTAGCTCTACTGTTCGCTTACAGTCTCTAAAGTTTCTGAAAGCATCCATGATTTCTGCCACAAAGAAGATACTTAGGAACGATTCTGTTTTCCTACTCTGTGACCTAAAATTGACTGGTTCTTCAATGGAAATGAGATCCATATCGGGCACTAAGGGTATACAGAAATAATTGTGGGCAAAAGTACTAAAGCTATTTTTGTTGCACTATATTTTGAGATCTCTTTAAGGCTCTGTGTTCTTACTGATTTATTCCAATTTAATGTATTGTACTATTGCATCCTACTTTTTCTTTTTAAATATATTATTATTGACTGCTACAGACTTTGTGTTAAACTGACAGGAAGTTTTTATAAACAATAACAGCACTCACATTTTGAAAGACTGGTTCCCATTGTTCTCTTGGTCCAATTGCATCTGAACGCCAACAACAAGTTCATCTGAATTTATACTAAGATATTTTCCATAGCCAGGTTTCAGGGCGATTCTGTACATTAATAAGATAGATAAAAGTTAAAAACTAAGAGAAAATTAATTATAGGACATCAAAACAGGACATGTGTATGTGTGTGGGTGTGTACATATCTAAAATTCCAGACTGGACATATTCCAAGTGTTCAAAAGATGCATGTGGCTGAGTGGTGACTCACTCCTGTAATCTCTGTGCTTTGGGAAGCCAATGGGAGAAGTGCTTGAGGCAAGAAGTTCAAGATCAGCCTGGACAACATAGTGAGACCCCATCTTTACAAAAAATTTAAAAAGTTAGCTGGGCATGGTGGTGTGCACATGTAATACCAGCTACTTGGGAGGCTGACGCAGGAGGAGTGCTTGAGCCCAGAAATTTGAGGTTATAGTGAGCTATGATCACACCACTGCCCTCCAGCCTGGGTGACAGAGTGAGACTCTGTGCCTTCAAAAAAAAAAAAAAGCTACATGTGACTAGTTGTTGCCATATTGGACAGTACAGTTTTAAATTTAGTTTTATATTTTGCTTTTTTAATATAAACATTGTACCTTATATATTACATAATAAATATTTTCAAAATTCATCATGCTTCAATTATACCTCTTTAGTTATAAACTTCAATAATAAATTACTAAAACTTTATGTCATCAAACTGTTTTCCAGAAAATGCTGCTTCCATTTACATTCTTACCTCAAATTAACAGAGTATGTTTTGTATCATGGATTTTTTTTTTAAATGTTATGACTCTAAAAAAATACTTGAAAACCTGATATGAAAAAAACAGTATCCTATTAATTTGCATTTTAGTAGTTAACTAGAATAACAATTATTTTTCTTTTCCTTTCCTTTTTAGTTTTTAGATTATCTGGTAATGCCCCTTGTCCATTTTTCTATTCAGATCTGATTGTTCGCAATTTTTCTACTGGGGTCTTCAGTGCTATGAATTCTATACAAGATACATATGAAGAGTAAGAACTCACTGCCTATTAAGATTGTTGCAAATATTTTCTCATTTGTCAGTTTTATTTATAATCCTTTTTTGTTTATAATTGTAAAGCAGTTTAAAACTATTGAGTTTTTCTTCCTCTGCTTTTATTCTTTTTCACCCTACTTATCACTTTCAAAGAAAGTATAGAAATAATCATCTTAATGTGATTTTTTAAAATTATGATTTCTTTTACCTTACCAAGAATCTCCTCGGATGCCAGAATTGACTTTTACTCCCTTATACATTAATGATTATATAACAGAAATCATTATCATGTTGATGTAACCAATTACTAAAATATGTAAATTCACTTTCAGTATCTTTTACCCAAAGAATCATTCTATACTTCTGCACAAGGTGAGAATAAAAAATAAAATGACTGTAAAAATAGTGAGTACAAATATTCTTTTGGTCGTTATGATGCTGTAACATTCTCTGCTGGTTTCAACAATATTCCTTTTTTTTAGTCTTCCTGTTTGTCTTTGGACTTCCAAACAGTGAGTTTAAATATCATAGCAACAGTGAACCAGGTTTTGTACTATTTGATTTATTTTTTAATCTATCTTATTTGCCGTATAAAATTATTAATCTTCATCTTTTAACTTACATATCTTTTCTCCAGCCTAGCATTATATATTGAGAGGAAATCCACTAAAAGTAGATCACAAAATCTACTTTTCAAAAAAGCTATTTTGTTTTTTATATCAAAATTACCATGGGCTTAAGACAGATACTAAAATTTTTAATGAATACAATTAAATTTTTAAAATAACTGGTTACTAATTATATTACAATATAAGTTCACCTGGAATCAGATAATTTGACAGCCATAAACTGCTCTGGAGGACTAGGGCCCTCATCAACTATTGGAGAAAAAACATTTGAAAATAAATTTGACATATGCTATAAATATAAAGACATTATTTTGCTTTAAAAAATGTGGCTATTTTCTTCTGCAATTAAATGTAAGAATATTCAGATATACTGATGTCACTGTAATACTGTATCTTTGGAATCAAGATCTATTTTACCTTCTTTTAACTATAGTGCTAATTGTATACACTGAGTAAGACAGGGTGATATAATGCTTATTTAATAACTTTCGAGATAGCTTCTCTTTGTTTTAAAATACAGTCATAAATAAGCACTTATTTAAAAAAGCTAAATGCTTTCATTTATTCAATGGATGGCCTTGCTGACGAAATGATACTGCTTTTTATCTTCTAATTACTTCGTATCTCATTAGTGCTTCCTCTAATGGGCTAAAGAAAATGTGGAAACTTCAAACTGTTAAATGCACCCAGGTTAGTTTTGGTAATAGGTCTGAATAAAAAAGAAATTCAAATATGTTTGACTCAAATAGGTTTTCTTTTTTCTTTCCACTTACTATTTTAATTATTCATATTGTTTGGATTTCCAAAGATACTCTTCTGGAACTATACGGAATGTTTTCAAATGCTTATATTAGAAAGAGGGACTTGCCAATGGCTGGTACATATTAAGGAATTTAAAAAAATGGAAGAGTCAAATGCAATGGTTCCATTCCTTTGGAAAATGTTTGAGACTAGTTAGAGTTTGGCCTAAGTGAATGAATGTCCTAAAATCTACACTTGTGGCAGGATCTTCCGTTCCAGACACAAACCTTCTTTGTGTGGAGCTCCCAGGGTAAAAAGACCATTGTTGAGTGCATGTATATAGGTTCCCTCATCCACTTCAATGGCTATGGTTCCTGAAATTTCACCAAAGTTTGTTACTGTTCACCAGATTCCTAAAAAATAAAATTGATATTTCAACTTTATATTTTAGTTTTGACACAGAGTTCTTTGTTATTGTAACTGAGTTTTAAAAACTTTTTATTTTGCAGTCGTAAGAAATACTATGAAGATCTCACATATCCTTTACTCGCTTTGTCTCAGTGATAACATCTTGCATAAGTATCATACATTGTTAGAATCCGGAAACTGACATTGATATAATCCATGAAGCTTATTCAGATTTCACCAGTTTTACATGTACTTGTTTGCACGTATGTGCACAGATTCATGCGACTACCAGCACAGTCAGGATTAGGTTTTTAAAATACACAATAGCAACATACAGCCAGGCATGGGGGTGCATGCCTGTAATCCCAACTACTCGGGGAGCTGTGAAAGAGGATCACTTGAGCCCAGGAGTTCAAGGTTATAGTGAGCTATGATCATGCCACTGCACTCTAGCCTGAGTGACAGAGCAAGGTCCTGTCTCAAAAAAAAACCAAAACAAAACAAAAGGCAACATATGAAGGTACAAAGTGATATATGGAGAACGGTCTCTCTCATGATAGACCCCAGCCATCTATTCATGCCTGCTTTCCAGAGGCAATGCCTATCATAATGCTTCTTAAAAATGCCTCTACAGGAAGACTTTCTAGCATAGTAATTTTTATTTATTTATTTTTTTTGAGATGGAGTCTCGCTCTGTTGCCCAGGCTGAAGTGCAGTGATGCGATCTTGGCTCACTGCAACCTCCACCTCCTGGGTTCAAACAATTCTCTGCCTCAGCTTCCCGAGTAGCTGGGGTTACAAGAGCCTGTCACCATGCACAAATAATTTTTTTTGTATTTTTAGTAGAGACAGGGTTTCACCACATTGGCCAGGCTGGTCTTGAACTCCTGACCTCGTGATTCACCCGCCTCTGCCTCCCAAAGAGCTGGGATTACAGGTGTGAGCCACCGCGCCCAGCCAGTAATCTTAACTATGATTTTAGATTGAAAGCAAAATGAGCAGAATCTATGCCTATGTATACTAATGTCCAATTTGCCAATATAAATGTTAGACTCTAGCAACAATTATTTTAGCAGTTGTTATAAAAGTTTATATCTTAATGTTAAAAAATATCCTCAAACCTCCTCCTAATTTGTACCTTAACTAGAGTAGAAATGAGTCAATCATTAACTGGATATGACATATTAAGGAATTCTTGTTAATTTTACAAGGTCTGATAATGACATAGTATAATATAAAAGTAAAGAACAAAACAGGTGATGAGAGAAAGACATACCACGTTAATTAATGTACATTTATTTTTTTCAAAGTTTTCAACTTCTTTGCCTTTGGTTTGAATGTCCTCCCGTAGCTCAGAGTAATTTGATCGTCTGAAGCCTTCTCTCAGCTCTTCAAAGTCATTCTCCGTCCAGCTTTGTTCCGTTGCTGGTGAGCAGCTGCGTTCCTCTGGAGGAGGAGAGGCGCTCTGATTTTTAGAGTTTCCAGTTTTTCTGTTCTGTTTTTTCCCCATCTTTGTGGTTTTATCTACTTTTGGTCTTTGATGATGGTGATGATGTACAGGTGGGTTTTTGGTGTGTGGATGTCCTTTCTGTTTGTTAGTTTTCCTTCTAACAGACAGGACCCTCAGCTGTAGGTCTGTTGGAGTACCCTGCAGTGTGAGGTGTCAGTGTGCACCTGCTGGAGGGTGCCTCCCAGTTAGAATAACTAATATAGAGAAGTGCTTAAAGGAGCTGATGGAGCTGAAAACCAAGGCTCGAGAACTACAGGAAGAATGCAGAAGCCTCAGGAGCCGATGCGATCAACTGGAAGAAAGGGTATCAGCAATGGCAGATGAAATGAATGAAATGAAGCGAGAAGGAAAGTTTAGAGAAAAAAGAATAAAAAGAAACGAGCAAAGCCTCCAAGAAATATGGGACTATGTGAAAAGACCAAATCTACGTCTGATTGGTATACCTGAAAGTGATGGGGAGAATGGAACCAAGTTGGAAAACACTCTGCAGGATATTATCCAGGAGAATTTCCCCAATCTAGCAAGGCAGGCCAACGTTCAGATTCAGGAAATACAGAGAACGCCACAAAGATACTCCTCGAGAAGAGCAACTCCAAGACACATAATTGTCAGATCCACCAAAGTTGAAATGAAGGAAAAAATGTTAAGGGCAGCCAGAGAGAAAGGTCGGGTTACCCTCAAAGGGAAGCCCATCAGACTAACAGCGGATCTCTCGGCAGAAACCCTGCAAGCCAGAAGAGAGTGGGGGCCAATATTCAACATTCTTAAAGAAAGGAATTTTCAACCCAGAATTTCATATCCAGCCAAACTAAGCTTCATAAGTGAAGGAGAAATAAAATACTTTACAGACAAGCAAATGATGAGAGATTTTGTCACCACCAGGCCTGCCTAAAAGAGCTTCTGAAGGAAGCACTAAACATGGAAAGGAACAACCAGTACCAACCGCTGCAAAATCATGCCAAAATGTAATGACCATCGAGACTAGGAAGAAACAGCATAAACTAACGAGCAAAATAACCAGCTAACATCATAATGACAGGATCAAATTCACACATAACAATATTAACTTTAAATGTAAATGGACTAAATGCTCCAATTAAAAGACACAGACTGGCAAATTGGATAAAGAGTCAAGACCCATCAGTGTACTGTATTCAGGAAACCCATCTCATGTGCAGAGGCACACATAGGCTCAACATAAAAGGATGGAGGAAGATCTACCAAGCAAATGGAAAACAAAAAAAAAAGGCAGGGGTTGCAATCTTAGTCTCTGATAAAACAGACTTTCAACCAACAAAGATCAAAAGAGACAAAGAAGGTCATTACATAATGGTAAAGGGATCAATTCAACAAGAAGAGCTCACTATCCTAAATATATATGCACCCAATACAGGAGCACCAAGATTCATAAAGCAAGTCCTGAGTGACCTACAAAGAGACTTAGACTCCCACACATTAATAATGGGAGACTTTAACACCCCACTGTCAACATTAGACAGATCAATGAGACAGAAAGTCAACAAGGATACCCAGGAATTGAACTCAGCTCTGCACCAAGCAGACCTAATAGACATCTACAGAACTCTCCACCCCAAATCAACAGAATATACATTTTTTTCAGCACCACATCACACTTATTCCAAAATTGACCACATACTTGGAAGTAAAGCTCTCCTCAGCAAATGTAAAAGAACAGAAATTATAACAAACTGTCTCTCAGACCACAGTGCAATCAAACTAGAACTCAGGATTAAGAATCTCACTCAAAACCACTCAACTACATGGAAACTGAACAACCTGCTCCTGAATGACTACTAGTTACATAATGAAATGAAGGCAGAAATAAAGATGTTCTTTAAAACCAAAGAGAACAAAGACACAACATACCAGAATCTCTGGGACGCATTCAAAGCAGTGTGTAGAGGGAAATTTACAGCACTAAATGCCCACAAGAGAAAGCAGGAAAGATCCAAAATTGACACCCTAAAATCACAATTAAAAGAACTAGAAAAGCAAGAGCAAACACATTCAAAAGCTAGCAGAAGGAAAGAAATAACTAAAATCAGAGCAGAACTGAAGGAAATAGTGACACAAAAAACCCTTCAAAAAATTAATGAATCCAGGAGCTGGTTTTTTGAAAGGATCAACAAAATTGATAGACCACTAGCAAGACTAATAAAGAAGAAAAGAGAGAAGAATCAAATAGACGCAATAAAAAATGATAAAGGGGATATCACCACCGATCCCACAGAAATACAAACTACCATCAGTGAATACTGTAAACACCTCTACGCAAATAAACTAGAAAATCTAGAAGAAATGGATAAATTCCTTGACACATACACTCTCCCAAGACTAAACCAGGAAGAAGTTGAATCTCTGAATAGACCAATAACAGGATCTGAAATTGTGGCAATAATCAATAGCTTACCAACCAAAAAGAGTCCAGGACCAGATGGATTCACAGCCAAATTCTACCAGAGGTACAAGGAGGAACTGGTACCATTCCTTCTGAAACTATTCCAATCAATAGAAAAAGAGGGAATCCTCCCTAATTCATTTTATGAGGCCAGCATCATTCTGATACCAAAGCCGGGCAGAGACACAACCAAAAAAGAGAATTTTAGACCAATATCCTTGATGAACATTGATGCAAAAATCCTCAATAAAATACTGGCAAACAGAATCCAGCAGCACATCAAAAAGCTTATCCACCAAGATCAAGTGGGCTTCATCCCTGGGATGCAAGGCTGGTTCAATATATGCAAATCAATACATGTAATCCAGCATATAAACAGAACCAAAGACAAAAACCTCATGATTATCTCAACAGATGCAGAAAAGGCCTTTGACAAAATTCAACAACCCTTCATGCTAAAAACTCTCAATAAATTAGGTATTGATGGGACATATTTCAAAATAATAAGAGCTATCTATGACAAACCCACAGCCAATATCATACTGAATGGGCAAAAACTGGAAGCATTCCCTTTGAAAACTGGCACAAGACAGGGATGCCCTCTCTCACCACTCCTATTCAACATAGTGTTGGAAGTTCTGGCCAGGGCAATTAGGCAGGAGAAGGAAATAAAAGGTATTCAATTAGGAAAAGAGGAAGTCAAATTGTCCCTGTTTGCAGATGACATGATTGTATATCTAGAAAACCCCATCATCTCATCCCAAAATCTCCTTAAGCTGATAAGCAACTTCAGCAAAGTCTCAGGATACAAAATCAATGTACACAAATCACAAGCATTCTTATACACCAACAACAAACAAACAGAGAGCCAAATCATGAGTGAACTCCCATTCACAATTGCTTCAAACAGAATAAAATACCTAGGAATCCAACTTACAAGGGATGTGAAGGACCTCTTCAAGGAGAACTACAAACTGCTGCTCAAGGAAATAAAAGAGGATACAAACAAATGGAAGAACATTCCATGCTCATGGGTAGGAAGAATCAATATCGTGAAAATGGCCATACTGCCCAAGGTAATTTACAGATTCAATGCCATCCCCATCAAGCTACCAATGCCTTTCTTCACAGAATTGGAAAAAACTACTTTAAAGTTCATATGGAACCAAAAAAGAGCCTGCATCACCAAGTCAATCCTAAGCCAAAAGAACAAAGCTGGAGGCATCACACTACCTGACTTCAAACTATACTACAAGGCTACAGTAACCAAAACAGCATGGTACAGGTACCAAAACAGAGATATAGATCAATGGAACAGAACAGAGCCCTCAGAAATAATGCCGCATATCTACAACTATCTGATCTTTGACAAACCTGACAAAAACAAGAAATGGGGAAAGGATTCCCTATTTAATAAATGGTGCTGGGAAAACTGGCTAGCCATATGTAGAAAGCTGAAACTGGATCCCTTCCTTACACCTTATACAAAAATCAATTCAAGATGGATTAAAGACTTAAACACTAGACCTAAAACCATAAAAACCCTAGAAGAAAACCTAGGCATTACCATTCAGGACATAGGCATGGGCAAGGACTTCATGTCTAAAACACCAAAAGCAATGGCAACCAAAGCCAAAATTGACAAATGGGATCTAATTAAACTAAAGAGCTTCTGCAGAGCAAAAGAAACTACCATCAGAGTGAACAGGCAACCTACAAAATGGGAGAAATTTTTCACAACCTACTCATCTGACAAAGGGCTAATATCCAGAATCTACAATGAACACAAACAAATTTACAAGAAAAAAACAACCCCATCAAAAAGTGGACAAAGGGCATGAACAGACACTTCTCAAAAGAAGACATTTATGCAGCCAAAAAACACATGAAAAAATGCTCACCATCACTGGCCATCAGAGAAATGCAAATCAAAACCACAATGAGATACCATCTCACACCAGTTAGAATGGCAATCATTAAAAAGTCAGGAAACAACGGGTGCTGGAAAGGATGTGGAGAAATAGGAACACTTTTACACTGTTGGTGGGACTGTAAACTAGTTCAACCATTGTGGAAGTCAGTGTGGCAATTCCTCAGGGATCTAGAACTAGAAATACCTTTTGACCCAGCCATCCCATTACTGGGTATATACCCAAAGGACTATAAATCATGCTGCTATAAAGACACATGCACACGTATGTTTATTGCGGCATTATTCACAATAGCAAAGACTTGGAACCAACCCAAATGTCCAACAATGATAGACTGTATTCAGAAAATGTGGCACATATACACCATGGAATACTATGCAGCCATAAAAAATGATGAGTTCATGTCCTTTGTAGGGACATGGATGAAATTGGAAATCATCATTCTCAGTAAACTATCGCAAGAACAAAAAACCAAACACCGCATAGTCTCACTCATAGGTGGGAATTGAACAATGAGATCACATGGACACAGGAAGGGGAACATCACACTCTGGGGACTGTTGTGCGGTGGGGGGAGGGGGGAGGGATAGCATTGGGAGGTATACCTAATGCTAGATGATGAGTTAGTGGGTGCAGCACACCAGCATGTCACATGTATACGTATGTAACTAACCTGCGCAATGTGCACATGTACCCTAAAACTTAAAGTATAATAATAAAAAAATAAATAAATAAAAAAGAAATGTCCATTTATGTACTTATGGATAAAATGATGTAATATCTGTGATTTTACTTAAAATTTTTTAGGAAAAAACGTGTGTGGGGGTGTGTATGTAAATGAAACGAAATTGGCAAAATATTGATAATTAATGCTGGGGCCTGGGCACATGGGGGACTCATTATATTCTTCTATGTATGGATTAGTTTGGATATTTCCATAATAAAAAGGTTTTAAAGATTCAGTTAATTCCACTGCACAAAATTTTCTATTCAACTAAACATTTCATGCTTTTCATAATCAATTTTAAAATACATAAAATTTTAGCTAAAATGAAGTTGGACCCTTATCTAACACCAAATACAAAAAGTAACTTAAAATAGACCAAAGACCTAAATGTAAGAGCTAAAGTTAGAAAACTTTTAGAATAAGATGGAAAAAGCTTCACGACAATGAATTTGGCAATGATTTCTTATATAGAACATCAAAGGCACAGGCAACAAAAGAAAACACAGACAAACTGGACTTCATCAGAATTAAAAACTTTTGTGCATCAAGAACCACTGTCAGAATAAAAGGCAACCCAGAGAATGGAGAAAATATGTGTAAACTACATACATTATAAGGAATTAATATCCAGACTATGTAGAGAACTCCAAAAGGACAAATACCACAATTCAAAACTGGGCAAAGGATATATACGGACATTGCTCCAAAGATGATATACAAATGGCCAATAAGCACTCGAAAAGACGCTCAACTTCACTAGTCACTAGGGAAATATAAATCAAAACCATAATGCAATACCACTTCACACCCATTAGAATGCTATTATCAAAACAAATAAAAAACAGAAATCAAGAAAACCAGAAAAACAAATGTTGGGCAGGATGTGGAGAAACTGAAACCCTGTGCAATGCTGGTGGGAAGGTAAAATGGTGCATGTATTTAAATGCCACTGAAGTGTACACGTAAAAATAGAAAAACTGGCAAATTCTATATTCTGTATATTTTACCTCCACAAACACACGAAACCAATGGAGAAAAAGAAAATTAATCAAAATAGACAATTAAAAAGAAATAAAACTAATAAGCAATTTAGATGATTGAGTTATAGCTACAATTGTTTTCAGGAAAAGAAATAATGCTTTATTCAGAATCATTATCAACAGTGTTATGATTAGCAAGTCTTTCTTATAAATGTAATAGTTAATAATTTTAAATTAGTTTTATTTTGTATGTTCTATGCCACATTCACCAAGTACACTTAATATTAAACAAAATTATTTAAATATAATATCTCATTAATGTTTTGCAAATGAAGAAGAAATTTCTGGCAGACAAGCTCCTCAAAATTTTCACACTCTGTCCAAGTAGGGAAATGATACAATAACATTACTTATAATATTGTCAACTGAAAAAGAAATTACTTTGAACAGATGCCAGTATTTCTTCTCAATGAGATTTCAAAGAATAAGAAAGCTAAACACAGTATTATCAAGAATTAAATGTGAGCATTCTGCCTACTTTCTGCAAGTGGCCTACATTCAACCTTTGGAGGTATGCTTATACGTTTAACGACTAAAGTAACATAACATAATACTTAACAGTGCCACTCAGGGGTTTTAGCTGTGAAAAAGCAGTGGATCCTAAGAACAGTGGGCACTGAAGTTGCCTGTCTCTATGTCAGGTTACAGCTCAAGCTGTGTATATGCTGCAGACGCACAAGCTGAATTTAAGAGAATCCGCTCTAAAACATTACTTCCTATTTAGACACATGCTTAAAGTTATTTCCTTTTAAACCTTAGGCAGATGGTGAAATATTCCTGCTGTATTGTCTCACAATGCATAACAAAGCTTTTCACGTATTTTCAGATAGTTGAGAATGTTTCCATATGTCTGGCATGCCTGTAATCCAGCACTTTGAGAGGTGGAAGCAGGAGAATCACTTAAGCCCAGGAGTTCAAAATCAGCCTAGGCAACAAAAGGAGACCCCCATCTCTACAAAAAAATTAAGAAATTAGCTGGGTATGGTGGTACAAGACTGTGGTCCCAGCTACTCGGGAGTTCGAGGTGAGAGGATTGCTTGAGCCTACGAGGTCAAGGGTGCACTGAGCCATGATCGTGTCACTGCACTCTAGCCTGAGTAACAAAGCAACAGCCTGTCTCAAAAAAAAGAAAAAAAAACAAACCTGGCCCGATGCACCAGTGTCATGGCTGATAAGACACTATCAGGGCACCCTCATTCTAGCATCAAGGCTGTGTGACAGCTCACCTCACCTTCTGACTAACCCAGTGCTTCTGTGCTAAGGGCCCCCTTAAACCTCTACCTTCATTATGTGCTTGGCACAAAGGAATGATATATCTTAGATTTGGAAATGGAATTTTCTTCCCCAATCTTACTGTAGTCTAAGTACCCTTCACAGACCTTCTATTAACCCATAGCTTACTCAGCTTTAGTTCCTGGGTAAATCAAATCTGTGTTTTGCAAACTACGATGTAAGTTCAGTTGCTTCTGATTCTAGCAGAGCTCAGTGAAACTCTTTGCTTACAGACATGCTCATTTTTATTAATGTCACACACGGTATTCTCCATGTGAAAGACAGAATTTCTTTCATCCTATTTACCAATCCCTTCAGATCCTTGTGAGGAACCAACAGAACAGCTTCAAAAAATTAAAAGGGTTTTTTCTTTCCCTTCACAAATAGGCACATGCTTACTTATATGGCAAGTTTAGAAAATCCACAATGCAAAAGAAGGTGGAAGGACAAGGAGAAAAAGACGCAGAAGGACTTCCTCTTCCAGCCAAGATGAACTTGCCCTCCCACCATGACCAACGACTGAAGCTGGATAGAATATTTGAGAAAACTGTTTTCAGGGATTGGAACACAGGCAGAACAGGACTGTGATATTTGAGAACAGGAAAACACAGGAGGCAAATCTCACACACACTTCTGTTTTCTGCCCAATGGCAGTTTCTCGACCACACAGAGAGAGGTAGAGACCTCCAAAAATGAGGCAATGTCACTGTCACTAAGCTGAGAGTCTTGCAGTGCTAACGTGTTTGGAGTTCATAGAATAAGGTACTGGAGAAGAGGGAACTACATACAGGTGAGGCCTCAAAAGAGAATGCAAAAGTTCTCTGCAGGTCTGGGGCCAAGGGCTGGGGGGAGTGCATACAGCAGGCAGGCTCCACAAGGCCTCTGCAGAGTGGCTGGCACTTCTGAGGGCTGACTGGAGATGCCAGAGAGCACACAAATTTGGGACATAGCAGAGTGGAGAGAACTCATCAAGTATACCTAGAACATGTGGCTGAGGCCCATGAGGATGAACCTTTCCTAGAGTAAGAGTCACTGTCTAAGTCTACAGGCAAAAACCTAATAAATAAGCACAAACTAACAAAGGCCCAGGCTTGACAGGAGCAAAAGGGTGGTCAAATAATATAACTAGGCATCAAGACATTTAACAGAAATAAAGGTTAAAATGTTATGAAAATGAAAGACTGAATTTATAAGGAAGAATTAACAATCCTAAATGCGTACACATGACAGCTTCAAAATACTTTAAGCAAAAACTGCTCAAGTAGACAGATCTAGAATTACAGCTGGAGATTTTAACATAACTCTCAATACATTGTAGGATGAGTAAAAAATCAGTAAGGACACAGAAGATGTGCATAGTCACAAGCTCCACCAGTTGATCTAACTGACATCTAAAGAACACTGAACCACCGGGCACCACGGCTCACGCCCGTAATCCCAGCACTTTGGGAGGCCGAGGCGGGTGGATCGCCTGAGGTCAGGAGTTTGAGACCAGCTTGGCCAACGTGGTGAAACCCCGCCTCTATTAAAAATATTAAAAAAATTAGCCAGGCGTGGTGGCAGGTGCCTGTAATTCCAGCTCCTCCAGAGGCTGAGGCAGGAGAATCACTTGAACCTGGGAGGCGGAGGCTGCAGTGAGCGGAGATCGTTCCACTGCACTCCAGCCTGCTGGGCAACAGAGTGCGACTTCATCTCCAAAAAAAAAAAAAAAAAAAAAAACCCTGAACCAACATCTACAGAATACACATTCTTTTCAAGTGTACATGGAAATTCACTAAGAATGTATGTTCTCCAACTATACTATAAATGAATTAGAAATCAGCAACAATAACATACCTATAATATCTCTATGTAGTAGAAATTAAAAAAAATACACTTTTAAATAACTCAAGTGTCCATGAAAAGAAAAATCACAAGGAAAACTAGATGATATTTTGAATGGAATGAAAACGAAAGCAAAATGTGTTGACTATAACTAAAACTAACGTGGAATGAAGAGATCTAACTCTCTTCTTAAGAAGCAATAAAACAAGAGCAAAGTAAACTGAAAATAAGTTAAAGGGAGGAAAAAAAAAGACTGAAAATAAATGAAATAAAAAATGAAAAAAAGAAAATAAGTAATACTGAAACAGGCTTGTCCAACCTGAGGGCTGCATGTGGCCCAGGCCAGGTTTGAATGCAGCCCAACACAAATTTGTAAACTTTCTTGAAACATTATGAGATTTTTTTTCCTTTTTTTTGGCTCATCAGCTTATCGTTAATGTATCCTATGTGTGGCCCAAGACAATTCTTCTCCTTCCGTTGTGGCCCAGGGAAGCTAAAAGAGTGAATACCCCTGTACTAAAAGATCATTAATGATCTAAAATAAGTGATCTTATAAAGAATTGATAAATCTCCAGCTAGACTGACTGATCCAGGAAAAAATAGAAAAAACACAAATTACCAATATGAAGAGACTGCAATACAGATTAGATTCTACAGACATTAGAAGGATATTAAAGGAATATTCTGAAAAATTTTATGCCAATAAATCCAACAACTTGGATGAAATGAAATTTTCCTAAAAGACACAAATTACCAAAACTGACAACAGAAAAATCTGAAAATATCTCTTAAAAAATCTTAATTCTCCCACAAAAAACTAAAACCAAACCAAACAAAACCCTCTAGGTTCAGATGACTTCACTGGTAAATCCTATCAAACATGTAAAGAAGAAATCATACCTATCTTACACAGCTATTTCCAAAAACAGGGAAGGAGACAGCACTTCCCATCTAATTTTATGACACCCAATATCACCTTGACACCAAAATCAAATAAAGACATTACAAGAAAAGGATACAAAAGTCCAATATCTCCATCAACACCAATATAGAAATCTTAAAAAAAAAAAAAAAACCTAGAAATCAACTCTAGCAATATTCCAAAGGACAATGCACCACAACCAAGTGGGGTTTATCTCAGGGATGTAAAGTTAGTTTAAAAGTTGAAAATGAAACCAATGTAATTCACTGGCAGAATGAAGAAAGTTGTATAATCATCTCAACAGATACAGAAGGAGACATTTGACAGCATTAAACATCGTTATGATAAAAACTGCCGAGAAACAAAGTTTAAAAGGAATGTCCTCATTTTGATAAAGGTTTTCTCTGTAGATCGTACAGACATCATACCATATGGTGGACTACTGAAACCTTTCTGCCTAAGCTTGGAAACAATGCAATTATGCCCATTCTCGTGACTTCTGTTCAACACTATGGAAGTCCTGGACAGTATAATAAACCAATAAAAAGCAAGACAAGACATTAAGATTCGAAAGAAAGAAGTAAAATGATAGTCACAGGAAACATAATTGCAAATTTCTTAGTTTTCTATATAAACAAACCACTAGAAGTAATAAGTGAAACAGACTTATCAGACTATAAAGTCACTATACAAAAATCAATTGTATATCTACATACTGACAGCAAACAACTGGAAAGTCAAATTCAAAAGTTCTACACAGTAATGTAAAATTATAAAATACTTAAGAATAAATTTTTAAACAGGCATGCAAGACTGCTACATTGAAAATTATGAAATATTGAGGCCCAATATTAAGATGTTGATTCTCCCCCAAATGATCTGGACTCAATACAATTCTCCGAGAAAATCCAACAGGCTTCACTGTAGAAATTAATAAACTAATAGTAAGTACAAAGTTGGAGGACACACACTACCTGATCTCAAGACTTCATGAAATTATAGCAATCAAGAGAAATATACCAAAAGAAAAACAGACAATCGATAGAACAGAGTCCAGAAATAGACCAATACATAGAAAGTTAATTGACTTTTTATGAAGATATGAAACTGGATTAATGGAAAAAGGAAACACCAGTGGTGCTGGCACAAATGGCTATCAAGATGTTAAAAAAAAAAAAAAGTAAATCTTGAAACCAAACTCACACCATGCCAAAAATTAATTTGAGATTAATGACAGATTTAATGTAAAAACTAAAACTATGATGCCTCTAAAAGACAATGTAGAATATCTTCCTGACTTTGGGGTAAGCAAAGATCTCTTAGATCAAAGAGATAAGGCAGTAACCATAAAAGAAAAAAAAATAAACTAAGCTTTATAAAAATTAAAAGCTTCTGACCATCCTGGCTAACATGGTGAAACCCTGTCACTACTAAAAACACAAAAAATTAGCTGGGCGTGGTGGCAGGTGCCTGTAGTCCCAGCTACTTGGGAGGCTAAGGCAGGAGAATGGCGTGAACCTGGGAGGTGGACCTAGCAGTGAACGAAGATTGCGCCACTGCCCTCCAGTCTGGGTGACAGAGCAAGACTCCATCTCAAAAAAAAAAAAAAAAAAAAGCTGTCCATCCAAAAACCACCATTAAGAAACTGAAAAGGTAAAACTCAGACTGGGAGAAAAGACTGATAACACCATCAACTCTTGGCAAGGATGTAACTGGAGAACTAATTCATTCTTGTTGGGAGGATAAAATAGCACAACCACTTTAGAAAATTTTTGACAGTTTCTTATATAGTTAAACATTCAACTATCCTTTGACACAGCAATTCCACATCTACATATCTACCCTAGATATTTACCCTAATTTTAGAATTGTTGATTTGCCATTTCAAAAGCAATGATCTTCCAGAACATTAGCTTTACACCATTCCATATTTTATATATTTTTTAAGCTACCATAATTTATGAAGATTCAAAATGCAACTTGCCAAGTTTTAAAAAAGAAAAAAAAGTATGGAAACAGCTAAACGGAAAACAGGCTGGTTAAGTGTGTTTGGGTCAGTTTATTTCTAGTATCATTTACAGGCCACCCTGATATTGTATTTAAAATTTTCATTCATTTCAGAGTTCACAAAATAATGATTTTTCCTGTGAAGATACTTCGTTTAAGAGACAACTGACTTCTACAACTAAAATGTACAGATGTTCAAAGAAAATAGCTTGTAAAATATATTTGGTTGAATAACATTTACATTAAGCCTTTAAAATTATGTATCAGAATCTCCGGCTATTAAGCAGTCTAATGGTGCCTACTAAGTCAGAGTGTTGTAATTCTTCTCTCCTGTGCTCTGTTCTGATAATGAAGTAAAGGCATCAGTAGCATCTACTGTGCTAAAGAATAAATGGAATTTACAACTGTAGGCAATATTTAAGCACTTTAAGACAAATATGAATACATCATAAATTTCTAACTAGGAAAATATTTTCAATGAGATCTCAAGAAATGTTAACTTTTTTCAGAATAAAGCACTGAAAACTGACTCACCAACATATCAAGCTGGGTTTCTTCATCTTCTCTTTTTCTCTTCTTATCTTTGCTCTTTTTCTTCTTACTACAGGAAATAATTTATATAGATGAGTTTAAGTATATTGATTTGTGTGATAAATAAATATCGTAAGATTGAAACTTGGAAGTCTTTTAAGTTGTTTCATTTATAAATTATTGATTTAGGAAGACTTACATTGCTATGCCCTCTTAAATACAGTACTGAGAATTTGCTTCAGGCTTTGTACATATTATGTTAAAGTTCAAAGCAGATTGTAGAGCCACACCGCCAGATTTTAAATCCCGATTCTGTCACTTCTTAGCTCTGCAATTTTTGGAAAAGGTACTGAATCTCTCTGTGAGTCAGTTTCCCCACTTAAAAAATTAGGATAACAACTTAACTCTTAAGTCTATTGTGAGGATTAAGAGGTAATATGTATCTTCACACATTGCTGGTGGAAATGTAAAATGGTGCAGCATCTACAGGAAACAGTTTGGGGTTCCTCAAAAAGTTAAAGAGTTACCATATGACCCAGCAATTTTACTCCTAAGTATGTATACCCAAGGGAAATGAAAACGTACACCCACAAAAATACTTACATAAGAATATTCACACTAGCATTAGTCACAATAGTCAAAAAGGGGAAACAATCTAAATGTTCATCAACTGATGAATGGATGAACAAAATATTACATCCATACAATGGACTACACTACGCAGCCATAAAAAGGAACAAGTGCTACAACAATGATGGACCTCAAGAATGTTGTAAGTGAAAGAAGCCAGATACAAAAGGCCACATGTTACATGATTTCTTAGGAAATATTCAGAATAGGCAATTTCACATAGATAGCAGACTAGTGGTTGCCATGGACTAGGAGAGGGGGAAGATGGGATGTGACAGCTTTAATGGGTAGGAAGAGATTTCCTTTTGAGATGACAAAAATGCTGAGCAACTAGACAGTGGTGAACCTCTTGGATATATACTAAAAACCACTGACTGTACAAAAGGGTGAATTTTATAATTATGAATTACATCGCAATAAAAAAATAAAAACCCAAGAGGGATTTGAAAAAAGTTAATGTGCAAAATGCCTACAATTTCTTGGCGCATTGAAAGTGCTATATAAGCATTAATTATGATTATTACGATAATCTTAAGATACTCTTGTCTGCATTTTCATCATAAAGTTTTCAGAAGATAACTCACCACTCCTCACAGGAAATTCACAGAGTAAAAATCTCACATTCATTCAGGATATACCTGCCATTTATTCTGGCATCTTCATGAGGCCAGACTCCTCGAGAGGGTTCTCAAGGGCAGTGGCTTCAGCTCACTCCTTGATACTTTCTTTCCATCTCGCCTAACAATATCAAAACTTCTGTTTATCACGGAGGCCAGGAGGAAAGCTCAATATTTGCATGTACAGTCAACCTCAGGCAAATCTGCCAGTTAAAAAAGAAGCGGGGATATGAATGCACAGGTATTTTTCTCCTAAAGAGCTAATAAATTACCACTACAACCTCCTCCTCACATTTGGCTCAATTTATTTACTGCATGTATGTTCTCTCATTTAATCCTCACAGTCTTCTAAAGGTATAAAAAATGGTCTGAAAGTATAAATGTGTAAACGGAGGTTCAAAGATACTTGATCTCTTAATGAGTAAATGGAAGTTCAGACATATTAACCAATTTGCCACAAATTACAAAATTAGTAAATGACAGAGTGCAGGTTCCAGCCCATATCCCTATCAAAGTCCATATACACCTCAACCACTGTGTGATTCATCCTGGTTTCACTCTACATATTAGCTTAGAAAAAAATTAATAATTTTTCCAGGAAGAGACAATGGAGAAAAGAATAATTCCTAATAAAGGAAGTTATTATAATGAACTACAAGATCAGACTAACGCAGACCCACCAGGCAGAGGCCTGGAGAGATGCCTCAAGGGACCCAAACTCGTGGGTACGGGGTCACGGGTCACCCGCCCGTCTATCCTGTTTCCAGGGTCGTCCGCGCAGGAGGCTGCCCCTCTCTGCACAGGCGCCAGGAAGGGCGGTCCGGCCTCCATCCAGCCCAGACAGGGTCAGAGCGAAGCCTGGGAGGCCACGAAGCCGGCTCTCCGCATCACGGCTTCCACCGGATTCGCGGGGGTGGAGTGCGTCCGAAAAGAACTGAGGAGGCTCCCGCCGGAGCTGCAGGACCCAGCTCTTCACCTCGGTTCCCTTGAGCACAAGCTTGGTAGACTTCACATAAGAATACTAGGCCATGGCTCCGGGAGACTTCTGCGCGGAGAGGCTGAAGCCGGCTCAGGAAGAGTATGTGACCTGGAGCAGCACCAGGGCGGGGAGGAACAGAAGTGGAGGCGAAGTAAACACTCCCCGACAGCGTAGGTCTGTCCAGAACCCGCCTCCGTCTTCACCCAAACACTGAATGGCTGAGATTTCCACTTCCGGGTTTCTGCTGGGGAGCTATGGCGGCTGCAGAGGGCCGAAAGGTGTCTGCGCGCATCTGCTCCCTGGCGCCCTCTCGAGGAGCCCCTGAGGATTCGTGCCTCCCAGAGGTGGGGAAAGCCCGCCCGAGGCGCCGGTGCTGACGGTGGCGGGGCTGCCGGGCACGCTGTGGAACTGCCTCCCGCTAGAGCTGCGGGCTGGCGACGGTCCCGTGGGGGCGGGAAGCGGCTCAGGGTGCCCTCGCCGGCCTGCGGCGGCGCGTCTGGGAGCGCAGGCCACTCGTGCGCGGGTCACTCGGGGCTGTGCCTCGCGCGACTGTGTGTGCAGGAAACAAGGAGGAAATACCCTAAAATGGAATGAAGCGCCATGTTGAGGGCCGCGGATGTCGCGAGTGCTGTGGGAATGTGGGCTGAGGTGGAGAGTTATGGTGGAGGAAGCTAGTCCTGTCTGATGGAGGAAACAGGGCAGAGGCGTGGAGGGAGACGCACAGTGCTGGTGTGAGGAGCCGCGAGCAGGCCAGGCCTGTAAAGCAGCGTGATGGGAACCAGGATAGAGAAGGCAAGTCGGGGTCCTGTGGTCGCTGAAGAATTTGAATGAAATCAGTAAACAGGTGAGAGGGATCCATCGCAAGAGCATGGGATGAAACGAGCAGTAGTCCACGGTGATTCCTCTGCAGCGGTGGGTATTATTAATCGCGTATGTGACACCAAAACGTGGGTATTATTGATAGCTTATGTGACACCAAAACCACCCCATTTAAGCTGTGGCTCTTTCCCTAAAGTAGAAAACAGAGATCAGTTGGGTTCCAAGCATCCACGAAGATCTTATTAAATTCGTGATCCCTGGTGGCACCATGGAGTCAGGATTGGCTCATCTCAAACCTGACTCAGAAACAAAACCATCTCAATGGGCAGAGATGAGCGTCCTTACCCGCTATCATAACGTATTTTCTGGTGTTTTCACAGTGCTGCGCTTCCTAATCCCCATTCTAGGGCAATCTACATGCCATGATGCCCAGAGGCATTAACAAAGGAGACACACAGGGGCTCCTCACGTTGGCTTTCCATGGTTTTGATGAAAATCTGTTTCCTCATCTCATACAATGTGGTCCGTAATAGTATCATTTAGGGTTGAAGAATTAAATGGTACAAATTATATAGGGTGCTTATGATAACCTACATGGAAAATGCCTAGGATATGTTAGCTATGCTCATCACCAACATCGTTATATGATGGTAATAATCAGATAGTCAGGAAGGCTGACACCAAGAAAATGGATACATGCTCTGAGGGAATGAATGTGGAGAGATCAGAAGGTCAAGAACAAAGCCTTACAACATGTCTGCAGTAAAGGGATAGAGAAAAGAAAGGCTATAAAAGAAGGAATGAAACAGAGTAAAATTATAAAATCAAAGCTAAGGAGAATTTCCAGAAAGGGTAATATCATTTAATATCATAGAAGTTTAGGAACACAAGATGGAAAAAAGGCCTCTGGGTAACTGACATTGAGGCAGTCTTTAGGGAAGCTCCATTTCTGACAGAGTAGACACCAAGTCAGCTTGAAGCAGGGACAAGTTGAAGAAGCTGTTGGCTGGTCGCATGGGGAAATAAATAAGGGATGGCATATGCCATATTTCTGGATTTCTTTCTTTCTTGCCCAGCCTCTATATATGCATAGAGTTTGGTGAAAACTTACAAAAAATAAAAATGAAACCAATTTTGTTTGTTGACTCAAATACAATGCTTTGTGTTAGAATCAAGATAAATTCATGCCTCTCCCTTCTATTGTCACCGTCAGTTTTGAAATTAAACATCAGCTTTTCTTCTTCATTAAAATCATTTTCAACTCCTCCCAGGTGTTGGTGGTTTGGGGGAGTTACATAAGCAGTCAGGTCTTGATGAGTAGAGGAGGAGGGAACAAACACTTTCAGCAAAGGTAGAATTCTGAAATTCTGCTCGTATTTTTCTCCAGTAACTTTCCTATGTTTGTGAGGTTATTCAGTCATAATGATCCTAGTGAAATTTTTTTCAAGCTTGACTAATCGTAATCACTGTGGACGTTTGTTTAAAATGTGTATTCCCAGGCCTCTCTCCTGCTGATTCTGATTCAGGAGATCACGGATGGAACTCAGAATACATGTGTTTGACAAATACCACAAGTGGTTCTTATGGTCAGGGAAATTTGGGACTCTAACCAGAAATTTATGTTTTTATGACTGGCAGCTAGAAAAGATTCCTAGAGTCTTTGCTTTTTGAAAATAAAATATTTCTTTTTTAAAAGGAAAATTGTATGACTAGATACAACATTTATACATGTGGCACATGTACTGTACTGTGTGCTTTTGTCATATTTACAGTTGAAGATGTGTAAGAACACTCTGAGAAAAATTATCTATTAAATGCAAAGAGGGGTAAGTCAGGGTGGGGGAGAAATGGGAAGGGTGTGCTTATTGTTGCTAAAAGGTAGAAAAGCCAGAATGATAGCATCTAGGGTTGCAAATAGCACATTGTAAGTTGAGGGAGCTTCATAATCATGTCTGAAACCTTCTTTGATATACTGAGTTGTAAACAGTGGCTTTGGACAAGATTTGAGGGAGAAACCAACTATGCTTTAAAGTGTTCATTTAAAAGGCTTTAATTAAAGGAAAGTCTTTATATTTACTTGAGCTAATTTAACTTCAGGACTTTAACAAATTACTAGCCCTTAACCTCTTAAAAATTGTCTTTCATTTCAAATGAAAGTTTAAGGTGGCCTTTATGTTTGATTGGTATACTTATGCGAAGACTTAACAGCAAGGTACTGTACATTTCTAAATGTTTACTTCTTAATTTTGCTGGAAGAAATATACTACTCAATTGATTATTTTTAAAGCAAAGTAAAACAATTTATTTTGACAAGCGACACTGTATTTTCCCAGTTTTCTGGTGGCAAAGATTAGGCTTAACATCACTAATCATCAGAGAAATGCAAATCAAAACCAAAACGAGATACCATCCTACACCAGTCAGAATAGCTACTATTAAAAAATCGAAAAACAGCAGATCTTGGGAGGCTGTGGAGAAAAGGGAACATTTACACATAATTGGTGCGAATGTAAATTAGTTCAACCACTGTTGAAAGCAGTTTGGAAATTTCTCAGAGAATTTAAAATAGAAATTCCTTTCAAGCCAACAACTCCATTACTGGTATATGACCCAAAGAAAGTCAGTTATTCTACCAAAAAGAGATATGCACTTGCATGTTCATCGCAACACTATTCACAATAGCAAAGACATGGAGTCAGCCTAGGTGCCCATCAACAGTGGATTGGATCAATAAAATGTGGTACATCCACACAGTATTATTAGGCCATTCTTGCATTGCTATGAAGAAATACCTGAGACTGGGTAATTTGTAAGGAAAAGAGATTTAATTGGCTCATAGCTCTGCAGGCTGTACGGGAAGCATGGTGACGGCATCTGCCTGGCGCCTGTGGAGTCTCCAGGGAGCTTTTACTCATGATGGAAGGCCAAGAGGGAGTAGGTACTTCACATGGCCAGAGCAGGAGCAAGAGAGAATGGGAGTAGGGGTAAGTACCACACACCCTTACACAACCAGATCTTGAAAGAATTCACTATCACAAGGACGGCATCAGGCCATGAGAGATCCACCCCCATGACCCAAACACCTCCTACCAGGCCTCACCTCCAACACTGAGGATTACATTTCACCATGAGATTTATAGGGGCCACCTTCCAAACCATTTCACACACCATGGAATACTATGCAGCCATAAAAATTAACAAAATCATGTCCTTTGAAGCAACTTGGATGCAGCTGAAGGCCATTATCCTAAGTAAATTAATGCAGGAATACAAAATGAAATACCACGTGATCTCACCTATAAGTGGGAGCTAAACACTGGGTACTCATGGACATAAAGATGGAAAGAATAAACACCGGGACTACTAGAGGGGAGAAGGAGGAAGGCAAGGTTTGACAAACTATTGGGTACTATGCTCATGTATTAATCTGTTCTCACACTGCTATATAGAACTACCTGAGGCTGGGTAATTTATAAAGAAAAGAGGTTTAACTGACTCACAGTTCCACAGGCTGTACAGGAAACATGGCTGGGAGGCTTCAGGAAACTTATAATCATGGCAGAAGGTGAAGGGGGAAGCAAGGCACGTTCTACCATGGTGGCAGGAGAGCAAGTGAGCCAGGGGGGATGTGCCATATGTTTAAACCATCAGATCTCATGAGAACTCACTTACCACCTAAGAACAGCAAGGGGGAAATCTGCCCTCATGAGCTAATCACCTCCCACCAGGTCATTCCCCCTACTTTGGGAATTACAATTCAACATGAGATTTTTATGGGGACACAGAGTCAAACCATACCAAATCAGCATCTGGATGATGGGATCATTCATACCCCAAAACTCAGCAATATGAGATATACCCATGTAACAAACTGGCACATGTACCCCTGAATGTAAAATACAAGTTAAAATTATTTTCAAAATAAATTAATTAATTAATAAATAAATATGATTAAATGAAATTAAAATTTTGAATTAAAAAATTTGAGAGTGATTTCAGCTTGACAGTTATGTAAGTTATGTAAATTGAAACAGTGAGTTCTATAGGGTTTGGATCAATTGCATTATCTGTACTAAGTTGATGACCAGTTGTTTGGATGAAAAGAAAAGAGGTGAAACATATAGATCTAACAGGAAAAAAATGGACCAGTTTTTATGATAGCAAAAAGAAGAATGGAGGAAATAGGACTGAGGTTATAGTGATTGATAGATATTAATAGACGACTAAGTCAAAAGCCATTGGCTGCAGAAAATATTGATTAATTTTGTTTTATTGCAGTCAGACAAAAAAATCCTATAACCTGCCTCTAGAGAAAACCCTTTTAGCCCTATAATTATCTTTATTCCAAGCACCATTCCATTCATTAAGTAGTGTATAGGGTGATTAATAAGTGAATTATTCATAGAATTAAGACAAAATTTTTGAGTATTACAGGATATTAATAGTATAGCCAATGAACTAAAATAAAATTTGACTAGAGGTATGATCACCATGAATGCCATGTTGGTCTCTTGTTAGATTTGGCAACCTAAAGTTGACAAATTTATTAATAAATAAACATTCCTTGATGATTAATTTACATTTAGTAGACCTGCTCTTTCTTCTTCCTTCCCTTTCTTATTCATTCATTCATTCATTCCTACAGAGCAGTGACTTTCATTCTAAGATTCCCAGAATCCTAAGGAATTCTTGAATGTCATCATAGGGAGCCAGGTGTGAGGATTCCTAAAAATTGTACTTAATACTTGAAAAATCTCAAAAAGTTATATATTTACACCAGAAAAATCTATACAGGTTTTAAGTTATATGTATATAGTTGAATACTTTTTATTTCTATCCAGTACTAAGTCATTAGAGTTAATAATGTTGATTATTTCATACTGACCTAATGGGTAGCCTTTATATATCATTGATTACTTATTAGTAAAATAAGAACCCCCCCAAAATTACAAAATAAATATATTTTGTGGGTTTTTCTTAAGGCTTTTGAAACATAAAATCAGAGGAGGGGATTAAAAGTAATCCTTGATTATTAGAAAGGCAGCGAACTACTAACTTAGAAAATTGTATGAAAACAGCAAGATATATACATGGCCCTCAGGCCAGCTGCCTGTTTTAATAAAGTTTTATTGGAGCACATCCATGGATCTATGGGGCTTTCCTGCTACAATGGTAGAGTTGAATGGTTGCTATAGAGACCGTATGGTTTGCAAAGCCTAAAATATTTTTCATCTGGTCCTTTATAGCAAAAGTGAACCCAGTTTTAGAACATTCACTTTACAAATTAAGATACAGTGGATGCTGCCTTAACTGACCTCCACTTAACTGATTTACAATCAGCACTTTCTTGTACCCCTGTACAACTTATTGACTGATGTCCACTGCAAATGGAAAGCCTTTGAGCTACTTTTAATGCCTGTACATTTCTCCTTCCATCACAGAAACTGTACAGTTTCTAAGAGGAAGCTGTGTTCATTCCTAAATATGTTTACGCCATTTGTTCTTGTTCTTGTAGTTATGCAATTTAATTAAATATGATGTTGAGAGGCTGAGATGGGCGGATCACTAGGTCAGGAGATCGAAACCATCCTGGCTAACTCGGTGAAACCCCGTCTCTACTGAAAATACAAAAAAAATAGCTGTGCGTGGTGGCGGGTGCCTGTACTCCCAGCTACTGGGGAGGCTGAGGCAGGAGAATGGCAAGAACCCGGGAGGCGGAGCTTGCAGTGAGCAGACATCGCACTACTGCACTCCAGCCTGGGTGACAGAGCGAGACTCCGTCTCAAAATAAATAAATAAATAAATAAATATTACGTAAACTGAGAAAATGAGTATAACAAGAGTAGTATTGTTGTTTCTCTGAGAAATAAACTAAATATGTTGGAAAAATGAGAAACTCAACAGTTGCTGTCAGCTTAACTGTTGGCAAGACAACTAGAAACAAATGGGAAAAATTGTGTAATCTAGGATTTCAGATTGCTTTACCCCAGTTGTCTTCACAGAAAGTGAACAAGAAATCAATGACAACATATCATTGGCATAGTTTCCACAAGAAACTCCACTCCGAATCCGTGCAAGGGTTTGACCTTGTCATCAAAATTCTGGCAAATTTATTTACACATGTCTTTTAAATTAAAGTTAAGTTTTAAGGACTTACATCTAATACTTCTTATGATTCCTCCAGCTAACTTAAATTTCTGATTAATCTGTTTATTACTGGTCCCAATCTGATTGAATAAGGGGGTTTCTACCGTTTTTGCTAACCAAAAGTTTACTTTGATGAAGATGGAATTATAAATACAATAATTTAAGTTTAAATAATTAGAATGGTAATGGTTAATACAATTTAGTATGCCTAAAAATCACTTGAAAAGCTTACTAACAATGTAAATTCTTGTGCCTTAGGCCTGAGATTTTGATTCAATAGGTCTAGCATGGGGCATAGGAATCTGTATTTTTAGGAATGATAAAGGAAAATTGCTTAAAATAGGGTAAATTATAACTTACAAATATAAAATGAACACTTGTCTAAGATTTTTGTTTAACTCGTTTGTTTAATGAGGGAGCCAGTAAGATGTTATACTGAGTTTTATGGAAAATTAAAAGAGCCACACATATCTAGGCACTAAGGAACACTGAAATAAATTTGCTTGATAGGTTCAAAACTGAATTCTTGATGGAAGGTGGGAAAAGGAAAATTAATTATACTTCCACCAAAATCAATCATTTGCCTGTCTATAAACATGAATATTTGCATTACTATCAGTAATCTACAACTAACAGAATTGCAAATAACAAAGAAAACAAAAGGCACAGAGACCCCATAGAAACAGATAACTCAGGTTATTCTAGACAAGGCTGAGATTTCCATTAAAGACACTCAGTGGTAATTTCGTTGGTCCATCTTAAAATCTTTCCATTTTCTCCTGAAACAAATTGCTCAAGCAATTCAAATACAATGAATGTGGTCAGTGGGTCACACCTGGAGAAATCATTTTCTAACCTGTAATCAAGACTGAATTACTCCCTTCACTGGAAAGAATAAAATATTACCACATAAATTCGTATTATGATAATGGCCCACTATGAATGCTTTGGTGTTCTTAATTTTCTTAAGATTTATTAATATTTCTGAAGTAACTACTAAATGCCAAGCAATATATTTTCTAATTTAATCTTTCATTGACTTTTACTTTCACTTCAATTGAGCTACTCACTTTCATGGCTATAAACTTAACTTTTCAATCACTTAAAAATTGATTTCTAATGTTATAAACTTTAATGTTCCACTCTGTGACCTGCTCTTTCAGACTCTTCCTTACTGTCAATTCACCTTCTCTTCTATCTCTTCCAGTGCCTCAGTATCTTGACTCTTCCATTTTCTTTTTTCTTTGCTTTTATTAAGTAGATACATGATAATTTCACATGTTGATGGGGTACAATGTGGTATTTTAATACATGACGCATTGTTAAAACCTCTCCTCCCTATCTTTCCCAGTCTGGCAACCACTCTTCTATATTAGATCAGTGTTTCTGGTAACCACTCTTCTACTCTTTATTAGATCAGTGTTTTTAGATTTCACATATAAATGAGATCATGTGATATTTGTCTTACCGTGGTTAGCTTATTTCACTTACCACAATGTCGTCTATGCTCATTCATGTTGTCACAAGTGACACGATTTTACCCTTTATTATGGCCAAATGTGCATATGATATAGTTTGGATATTTGTCCTGACCCATATCTCATGTTATATTGTAATCCCCACTGTTAGAGATGGGGCCTGGTAGGGGGTGTTTGGGTCATGGAGGTGGATCCCTCATGGCTTGGTGCTATCCTCATGATAGTGAACGAGTTCCCAAGCTTCCTGACTAGTCAAGCAGATGTTGGCATTATGCTCCCTGTACAGCCCATGGAACCAGGAGCCAATTATGTCTCTCTTCTTATAAATTATCCAATCTCAGGTATTTCTTTATTCTTGCAATGCAAGAATGACCAAATACAGCATATATGCCACATTTTCTTTCTCCATTCATTCATTGATGGACACTTAGGTTGATTCTAGGCTATTGTGAATAGTGCTGTAATAAACATGAGAGTCCAGAAATCTCTTTGACATACTGATTTAATATTCTTTGAATATATACCCAGTAGTGGGATTGCTGGATTATGTGATAAGTCTATTTTTAATGTTTTTGGAAGTTATATTGTATTCCATAACAATTGCTCTAATTTACATTTCCACCAACAGTGTATGAACATTCCCCTTTCTTCACATCCTTGCCAGCATTTGTTATTTTTTGACTTTTTCATAACAAGCATTCTAAGCAGGGTGAGATGATATCTCACTGTGGATTTGGCTTGCATTTCTCTGATTATTAGTGATGGTGAGCATTTTTTCATATACCTGTTGGTGATTTTTTTGTCTTATTTGGAGAAATGTCTATTCAGCTATCTTGACTATTTTCTAATCCAATTATTTGTATTTTTGCTATTGAGTTGTTTGAGTTTTCTATAAATTTGGGGTATTAACCCCTTATGAAGTGAATAGATTGCAGATATTTTCTCCCATTTTGTAGGTTGTCTCTTCACTCTCATGATTGTTTCCTATGCAGTGCAGAAGTTTTTATTTGGTGTTATCCCATTTGTTTATTTTTGCTTTTGTTGTGCATGTCTTTTGATGTCTTTTCTAAAAAGTCCTTGCCCAGACCAATGACATATAACATTTCACCTATGTTTTCTTCTACTAGTTTCATAGTTTGGGGTCTTACATTTAAATATTTAATTTATTTTGAGTTGATTTTTTTATATGATGAGATATAGGGGTCTACTTTCATTCTTTTGTATGTGGATATGCACTTTTCCCAGCACCATTTGTTGAAAAGACTGTCTTTTCCCAATTGAATGTTTGCACCTTTGTCTAAAATAAGTTTCATGTAAATATGTGCATTTATGCCTGAGCTCTCTATTTTTGTTCCACTGGTCTACATGCCTGTTTTTATGCCAATACCATGCTGTTTTAGTTAGGATAGCTTTGTAATATATTTTGAAATTAGATAGTGTAATACCTCTAGCATTGCTCTTTTTGCTTAAGATTTATTTGGCTATTTGGGGTGTTTTGTAGTTTCACATGGATTTTAAGATATTTTTTAATATCTGTGAAGAATGAAGTTGGAAATTTGATAGAGATTATATTGGATTTATAGATTGATTTGAGTAGTATGGTCATTTCAACAATATTAATTCTTCTAGTCCATGAACATGGGATATCTTTCTATTTATTTTAATTTTTTAAATTGCTTTTATCAATGTTTAATAATTTTCATCTTTCTGTGGCTTAATTTACTTATAGGTATTTTGGTTTTTTATAGCTATTTTAAATGGGATTATTTTCTTGATTCCTTTTTCAGATAGTCTGCTATTGTTGTAGAGATGTTACTGAATTTTTATGTAGCTTTTGTATCCTGAAACCTTATTGTATTCATTTACTATTTCTGATTCTCAGTGGTGTATTTAGGGTTTTTTACATATATGATCATGTCGTCTGCAAAGAGGGACAATTTGACTTTTTTTTCCAATTTGGATGCCTTTTATTTCTTTCTCTTACATAATTGTTATGACTAGGACTTCCAGTACTATGTTGAAAAAAGTGATTAAAGTGAACATCCTTGTCTTGTTCCAGATCCTAGAGGCAAAGCTTTCAAGTTTTCACCATTCAGTATAATGTTGCCTGTGGGTTATCACATATGGTCTTTATTTTATTATGTTGTTTTATAACTAATTTGTTAAAAGGTTTGATCATAAAAGGATGTCTAATTTTGTCAGATGCTTTTTCTGCATCTATTGAAATGATTATATGCTTTTTATCCTTCTTTGTTTAATGCGATGTATCACATTTTATTGATTTACATGTATTAGACTATCCTTACCTCCCCGGGTAAATACCACTTGATTATGGTGAATAATCTTTTTAATGTGCTTTTGAATTATCATTGCTAGAACTGCTGGTTTTGAATGTTTGCATCTATGTTTATCAATGATATTGGCCTGGAGTTTTCAAAGAGTTCCCTCCTTTTCATTTTTTTGAAATAGTTTGTAAATAATTTGTATAAGTTTTTAAAATGTTTTGTAGAATTTGTCAGCAAAAACCACCAAGTCATGAACTTTTCTTTCTTCCTCTATTTTTTTAGAGACAGGGTCTCACTCTATCACTGAGGCTGGCATACAGTGGTGCAGTCATAGCTGACTGCAGCCTCAAACTCCTGGTCTTAAGTGATCCTCCTGCCTCAGCCTCCTGAGTAAAAGTACATACCACTATACCTGGGGAATTTTTATTTTTATTTTTAGAGATGCAGTCTCATTGTGTTGCCCAGGCTAATCTTGAACTCCTGGCCTCTAGTGATTCTCCTGCCTTGGGCTACTAAACTGTGAGATTACAGATGTGAGCTACTGTGTAAAGTCTTTTGGATTTTTCTTGACTGAGAGCCTAAATCACTCCTTCAATCTAATAATTTTCATTGGTGTGTTCACATTTTCTACTTCTTCTTTCTTCAATTTTGATGGGTTATATGTGTCCAGAGCATACGTATTTCTTCTAAGTTTTTCAATTTATTGACATATAATTGTTTGTAGTACTTACTCACGATTCCTTATATTTCTCTAGAGTCTATCATAGTATATCCTTTTTCATCTCTGATTTTATGTGAATTTTCTCTTTTTTTCTTAGTCTGACAAAACATTTGTCAATTTTACCTTTTCAAAAAAGATTCCTTCATTTAATGACTCATTTGTATTTTTTGTCTTCATTTTGTATATTTGTGCTCTGATCTTTATATTCTTTAGCTAATTTGGGTCTTAGTTTGTTCTTGATTTTATAGTTCCTTGAAATACATTGTTAGATGCTTTATTCATTATCTTTCTTCTTTATTGATGTTGAAATGTATTGCTATAAACTTCCCTCTAAGAACTGTTTTGCTGTATTTCATAAGTTTTCATATGTTCTGATTTCATTTTTATTTGTCTTAAGACGTTTTAAAATTAAATTTTTTTCATTGACCCTTTGGTTGTTTAGGGATATGTTGTTTAATTTGTATGTATTTGCACAATTTCTGAAGTTCCTCCTGTTGTTTATGTCTAGCTTTATTCCATATGGTCAAAAAAACAAGTGATATGATTTGATTTTTTGATTAGCTAAGACTTGTTTTGTGCTCTAACATATCTATCATGGACAATATTCCATATGCAGGTGAAAAGACAGTGAATTATGCAATTGTTGGATGAAATGTTATGTAAATAACTGTTAAATTCTTTTGATCTAGAGTGCAGTTTAAATGTTTCTTTGTTGACATTCTCTCTCAATGATCTGTTCATTGCTGAAAATGGGATGTCGAGGTTTCTTACTATTATTGTACAGTTTTTGGTCTCTCCTTTTAGATCTATTAATGTTTGCTTTATATATTTAGGTTCTCCAATGTTGAGGGCATTATATATTTACAATTATTGTATTCTCTTGTTGTACTGACCCCTTTATTATTACATAATGGCCTTGTTTGTCTGTGTTTACAGTTTTTTATACTTGAAGTCTATTTTATTTGATATAAATATAACTACTTCTGCATTCTTTTGATTTCCATTGTCATAAAATATATTTTTCCATCTGATCACTTTCAATTTATGTGTGTATTTACAGGTGATGGGAGTCTCTTGTAGAAAGAATATAGTTAGGTCTTGTTTTTAATCCATTTACCCATTCTCTGTCTTCTTACTGGATAATTTAATCTATGTACATTCAAGGTAATTATTGATAGATAAGGACTTGTACTGCCATATACTGTTTTCTTGTTGTCTTTTAGAATTTTTGTACCTTTTTGTCCCTTTGCTGTCTTCCTTTGTAGTTAAGTGATTTTCTCTGTGTGTTTTTGTTTCTTGTTCTTTTATTTTTAGTGTATCTAATAAAAATGTTTGCCTTTTGGTTACTATGAGGCATGCGAAGAATATTTTATAGTTTCAATAGGTAATTTTGAATGGATAACAACTTAATTTTGATAATAAGAAATGGGGAAAAGCAATCACTCTGCTCTTTAACTCAATCACTCCCCCACATTTTGCATTTTTGATGTCTTAATTTACATCTTTTATATCACTTATCTCTTAACAAATTATTGTAGTTGTTATTATTTTTGTTTTGTATTTTAACCTTCTTACTAAAAACATGTAAGTGGTTTACATTCAATTATTACTATATTAGAGCATCCTGAATTTGTCTGAATATTTATTTTTACCTGCAGATTTATACCTTCCAATTTTTTGTATTACAAATTAGTGCCCTCTTCTTTCAGTTTGAAGACTGTTCTTTAACATTTCTTTGGTATGATTTGGCATAATTTTTTCCCATTATTTTAAATTCTTTGTTGAATTTCTCATAAATTTCCATATTGTTTCTCTGTACTTTGTTGAAGTGCACAGATTTTTTTTTAAAAAAAAACAGCTATTTGAATTTTTTTGTCTGCCCCATCATTCATTTGCATGTCTTTAGGTTCAGTTGCTGACACCTTGTTTTCTCCATTTGGTGAGGCGGTTTTTCCTAGGCTATTCTTATTTTTTGTAGATGTACATCTCTTTCTACACATTGATGAATTAAATATTTATTTCAATCTTCTCAGTCTGGGTTTGTTTTTGACTGTTTCTCAGTGGGCTTGTTTAGAAATTCTATGTGGATTTCCATTATATTCCATTTTAGCATTAGGAGGTGCCCAAAGCAAAGGTTAGACATAAGTCTTGCAATAGGGCTTCACCACTGATACAATGTAAATGGATGGGCCCATGGGTGATCCACAGAAAGGCTGCTGTCTGTTGGGGGAGAACAAGTCAGGCCATCAAATCTGGACAGTCTGTGTATCATGTTTCCCACAATGTGGTGCCCATAAACAACCTGTCTGGTATAATGTTTCCTCTGGTAGGAATGGCTAGCCACTGCTAAGTTTCATATAGTAAGTATCGCTAACCCAATCCCTTCTCTATGTCCCTAGCATGCCTCTGGTGGTTCAGCTCTGTTGACACTCATGGTGCTGCTTGTGGGCTGATGCAGGAGTGAGTCTACTGTGAAGGCACTCAGTATGGTGGAAAAAATATTCAACTTCTGCTCACTTTATTCAGTGTAAGAACTGTGAGTTCAGGAGGACTTTGTGCATATAATACCTTTATGTCCAGGGGGAAAAGTATCACAGTCACAGAGTACTGTTTCCCTTACTGTCCAAGCATGGTTTTACTCCTCTTTGCAGTCCAAAGGGGCTTCATAGACTCACTCATGTATTCAGGGTTCATTAGCTCTTGTAAAGGTAATTTCATATGTGGATAGTTGTTCATATAGATGTGTCCATAGGGGTATGATTACTGGAGAGATCGACTCCACTACCTTGCTCTGCCCAAATCCTTCCCCTTTCCAACAAGAGTTTGCCACCTCCTAGTTTTCTTTTTTCTTAACCAAACTAAGTTTAGCCTTTTAATCCTTCACCCTCCTCCACTTCTAATGCCATTGCTTCTCTGTATGCTTATTGTATTTTCCATGCTATATGACTTTCAGCTGGTTATTTACAGTATGTAAGTTTTAATATCCTGTAAAAGGGGGATAATAATAGCATCCGTTTGATAAAGATGTTAAAGATACTAAATGACACTGTCCATGTTAAATAACTTTTTGAGATATATTGAGATGTTTCTGCACTTCCTTGTTCTGGCCTTCCTGTAGAACCAGAGGAATCTATTGCCATGAAAAGCAATAAAACTGTGATAGTAGAAATTAAAAGTGAGTAGGAACTTATTTAAAAATCATCATTCTCCTTTTCAACGCAAAAATAAGAACTAGAAACTTTTAATAAGCCAATAGTCTGGAGAAATAATTTATGGAAGATAACATGGGTTTTTTAATCTTAAAGGGTTCTTTTACATATTCAAGGGTCGAGATTGGCTGCCTTGAATCCTACTAAAATTTCAATGTAAGTTTTAGAGAGGGAGGAAAGAGTCAAAGAAAAAATTGCACTGGAAAAAGTTAAATAAGTAAGGAAGATATTATTCAGGCTATTGCAATACAGGAGAGAGGCCAGACCTAGTCTGAACTCAGCTCCCCTGATACAAAGGGCCGTGGAGTTTTTGAAAGTGAGGGTAAGGGGGCGATCATAGGCCACCTGTCTTTGCTAACTGTCTTTTCTCAAAGGAAAAATAAACTTTCTTTTATCTTTATGATATAAGGTAATTTTTACAACTTGGAGCAAGATTAGGCTCTTACTCTCTCATGGAGACTGGGAAATAAGGTATTATCTTTCTGGAGGATTACATTTGAAAGGGATGGCTCCCAGATCCTTGAAAAAGGAAATTTTCTGCTTACAAGTTACACATGCCACTTCTACCTGCATTTCAGTGGCCAAACAGGTCACATATCTAAATCTGACCCTTCCTTCAATAGGACAGAAATGTATAATCTTCTAGGAGATAGGGTTACTGCAGTAGGAAGACCAGATAATGGGAGAATGATAATATAATCTACCACAATGACCACAGTGAAAACACTAGTAATCCTCAGGGTTAAACCAAGACTTCTTGGACACTTAGGTTGATTCTAGGCTATTGTCAATAGTGGAATAGTAAAAAATAAAGAGAATAGCCCATTTATTTTTTGCAGAGAAGCTAGACAATTCACAGTAACTTATGGCCTAGACAATTTTGTTTCTTGATCAACACAACTCTTTATAGATGCCTGTGGTCCAAAAATGCGGATTCCTAATCGTCGCCAAAATGAAGGGATCCTCTGCAAGGCAACCTGGGAGGGAGTTTAGGATTGTTCTGAAGCAGTGAAAGTCATTGAGATTCACATGTAAGAGGGTAGAGAAAGGGAATCCACATGTTTTGATCCCTCCATGTGCTGGATATAACTTGGTCTTCATTATATTGCACCACCTTTGGTGTCAGAGAGAACTGGATTTGAATCCCAGTTCCATCACTCATTATGATTTGATGGTGAATGTGTTTTTAACTCATCTGAGCCTCAGTTTGCTCATCTATAAAAGATGGGATTGTTATGAGACTTGCATAAGGTAAGTGTTTAAAAATCTGGGAATAACCCCTGTAATTTAAAAGACGGGGTTGTGATGAGGCTTCAATAAGGTAAGTGTGTAATATCTGGACACAATGTTACTAATTTTGTAGGTTTTCAATATATAGAGAAGGAGGATTATTTTTCTCTCATTTAATTTTTAGAACAAGTTTATAAAATTGGTATTATTCATATTTTTGAGATAATCAAAGGATCACTAAGTTTAAATAAATCACCATAGTAACAAAGCAGTTCACAATATATTGACTGGATAATTGCTAGTGAAAAGTAGCAATGATGATCACATTGAAAATCTTGTGTTAGGTGGTGGTTTTCTCTTGCATAAGCCTCTTCATTTGTTGAAACCATAGATTCTAAGTTTGCTCTATCAAAGTGATCATTAGAAAAATATAATGTACTTAGTGTATAAATTTTAGAAAATTTCCTTTTTAGTCCTGTTATTTTGATTGAATATGTGCATTTTGAATTATGAATATAAATATGAATATGTATGGCATAAGAAATATGACTTGACATCACAGAGTAACCTTAGATCGTGGCAATGTTTTTTTCTGAAAGCACCTGCAGAAATGTATCTTCTTTCTAGTTTCCAAAAAACTCAGAGGCCATGGGGGAAGAGGGGACTTTGGTGGTCAGATAGTGCATGAGGTACATTAGGATATAGTAATTGCATCATAATTCATATCCATAATTCACAGTGAGGAAACCTGAAATTTGCTACCAGCTACCAATAAATGAAAGGTGGGGCGGGGTCGCTGGGGGGCGCGGCTTTGTGAGCCAGTGCCTGGACTCCCACGTCACAAATGGAAGGGCAGCGCGTGGAGGGAACTCAAGGCCTGATTGGTTCTTCCTAAGCAGGACACGATCAGGTTGGCACGGCAACCGGCCTTCAGTTGGTGGCCTTCAGTGGGTGCCTTAAGTTGGTGGCATTTGGTTGCCTTTCCTGGGGAGAGGCGGCAGGTGCTCAGCTCTGCAGACGTAGGGGCAAGCGAAGGCCCAAGCTGCCTCGAGAAGAGCAGAGATGCCCCATGGGGACCACGATGACGGGTCGCATGTGCACCAAAGCCAGCCCCCAGCAGGGCCAGCGCAGGGGTTCTGCGGGGCCGTCCTGTGGCTCTGATATCTATGAGTCGTCGGCCAGCAAAGGCACAGGCACCAGCAGAAAGGAGCAGAGATGCCCAGAACATGCTGTCCCCCAATGCCAGCCCCAAGCGGGGCCAGCTTAGGGTGCGGTGGGCAGAGCCATCCTGCAGCTCTGAGATCCACGAGGAGGAGGTGGGAGTAGCGCCAGGCTCCACTGCGTTGGAGCTCGCACAATTTGAGCCCAATTTGATTCCGGAGCCATGACTTGCAGCACATTGAAGACCAGAAGACGCCCAAAGGTAGGGAGGCGACAGATACCGCTTGGCCTCAGGAGCTCCTCTGGCCGTTGCTGAACCAAGGTTCCCCCAGAGACATCCACAGCCTGGGGCTCCTCCCTTCTTCACCTAGTTCCTTTCCTAGGCCCAGGCCCCAAGCATGAGGACTGGCACTGCCTGGCGTCTCCATCCCTTGGTCTTTCCCTGTTGCATCCAGCTGGTTTCTTTTCTCCTCCCTACCCATATGCCCAGTTATGGGCCCTCTTCTTCTTCCTAGAGGCTGGCCAAAAACTAAGTTTTCAAAGTACAAAATGGATGCTACAGATTTCGTTGCTTTAGAGGAAATGTCTGACGGTTCTTGTATTTAAACTTAAGTAGCTACACTGGGACTCACAGTTTCATATCTTGAGTTCTAGACCAGAGCTATCAACCCTAAAGCAACGGCAAGGGGTTAGAGGTACTCTTCTTGATTCGAATAATAAAAAATGATTTTTTTTTTGTAGGGACAAGGTCTCACTGTGTTGCCCAAGCTGGTCTCAAACCCCTGGCCACACACTGCTGGGATGACAGGCAAGAGCCACCACACCTGGTCATTGGAGGTGCTCTTGCTTTGTGTGTTTCGGCTGGTCTTCAGGTGCAGCTGTCTGTAAGATGCTTCTGCAATATAGTTCTATGTCTTTCTGCACAGATTCAGTGGATCCTGTGTTTTTTTTACATGGAATAGCCCCTTTATTTTTTGCAGAGAAGCTAGATAATTCACAGTAACCTATGGCCTAGAAAATTTTATTTCTTGATCAACACAACTCTTTATAGATGCTTGTGGTCCAAAAATGCAGATTTCTAATCATCCCCACGAATAAGGGGGCCATTGCAAGGCAACCTGGGAGGGAGTTTAGGATTTCTCTGAGGCAGTGAAAGCTATTGAAATTCCCACATGAGGGGGCAGAAAAGGGAATCCACATATTTTGATCCCTCCATGTTCTGGCTGTAACTTGGTGCTCGTTAAATTGCACCATTTTTGGCATCAGAGAGAACCGGATTTGAATCCCAGTTCCATCCCTCATTATGATTTGATGGTGAATGTGTTTTTAACTCATCTGAGCCTCAGTTTGCCGATCTATAAAAGATGTGATTGTTACGAGGCTTCCATAACGTACATGGGTAAATACCATGGCAAAATGCTTGTAATTTAAAAGAGAGCATTGTTAGGAGACTTGTATCCGGTAAGTATATAAAAACCTGGACACAATGCCTATAATTTTGTAAGTGTTCAATATATGGAGAAGGAGGATTATTTTTCTTTCATTTAATTTTTAGAGCAACTTTATAAAATTTGTGATACTCATATATTTGAGATAATCAAACCAAGGATCAGAAAGACTAAACAAATCACCATAGTCACAAAGCAGTTCACAATACATTTACTGGATAATTTCTAGTTAAAAGTAGCAATGATGATCACATTGAAAATCTTGTATTATCTGGTGGTTTTCTCTTACATAAGCTTCTTGGAATTTAGTAAGATAAGTTGCAGCTCAAAAAGCAGATCTGTAGAATATTTTATTCCAGAGATTGTAGTGGGGGCCAAAGTATTGCATGAGTTTTGTTGGGAACAAGGTATAGGCTGAGAATCTAAGCATACTTCAGTTGGTGGTTTTCAGTTGGTGGGCAGTGGAAGAAGGAGGAGGAGCTCCGTCTGTGCTCTCTCTTCCCCCAGTCACAGCCCTCAGGCTTGTTGCATCCAGGCCCTTCTAAGTTAAAACAGACAGGTTGACAGGTTTATTTATAATTTAGCAGACAAGTCAGCTCAGGGTAGGCAGGTGAGGTGGGGTGTGGGCTGCTAGTACAGTGCCGCCCTTTGACCCAGGGCTACCCATGCCCATGGGGCTATGCCATATATTATATATATAGTATTTTATATATATGTATATAAGCCTGTTGGTTTGTTAAAACCATGGATTGCTCTATCAACGTGATCTATCAACATGATCAACGTTGCTCTGTCAAAGTGATCATTAGAAAAATGTGATGTACTTAGTGTGTAAATTTTAGAACATTTCTTCTGTTAGTCTGTTAATACTCAATTCTTTTCTAAAACACCTAGCCCAAATCTCCACAGGTTTTAATCGAATTATATTATAATTTGGATTTTCTGGTCTGCCTATCTTCCAAATAATAAAGTTCTTAAAATTAATTTTCTATTGCTGCCATAACAAATTTCCACAACTTTGTGGCTTAAATCAAAGACTTACGACCCTATAGTTCTGTAGGGCAAACCTCTGACTGTGGTCTTACTGGGCTTAAGTCAAGGTGTTGTCAGGGCTGTATTGCTTTCTGGAGGCTCTAGAGAGAATCCATTTCCTTTTCCAACTTTTAGATGCTGTCCCTATTCCTTGGATCATGGGACCATCCCTCCATCTTCAAAGCTAGTAATGTGGGATGTCTGTGGCCATTGTTCTGTAGCCATATCACCTTCTGACTGTAGCTAGGAAAGATTATCTGATTTTATAGACACATGCAATTAGATTGGCTCCCAAGATAATCAAGGATAATCCCCCTAACTCAAGGGTTAATCACATCTCCAAAGTCCCTTTTGCCCCATGTAAAGTAATATGGTCACAGATTCCAGTGACTAGAACATCTTTATGGGGTCATTATTTTGACTGTCACAAAGGCAAAGTCTTGGACTTATGCATATCTAGATTTTCTTTGCTTAATTTCAGAGCCTAGAACACATTAGACTCTAAATAAATGTGAGTGAGTGATAAATATTATATTTACAGATTGCTGCCACATTGCAATTCTGTCCTCCCACTGGTGGTGGAATCCTATGTACTTTTTACCATCTCCGTTTTGCATTCAGACTGAACATGGCTGTGTTACTCCTTTCACCTGGGTGATTTCAAACCATCTCTCTATTTCTATTTGTAGAGATCTTATCTATCAAGCCCTTCTCAAATGCCACTTCAAAAAACTTTTTCTAATCCCCAATTGTCTTAGTCAATTTATGCTCTTACAACAAAATAACACAGACTAGGCAATTTATGAAAACCAGACATTTATCTGTCATAGTTCTGGAGACTAGGAAGTCCAAGATCAAGGCATTGGCAGGTCTGATGTCTGGTAAGGGCTGTTCTCTCCGTTCAAGATGGTGTTTTGATGCTGCATCTTCCAGAGACAGGGAACACTGTGTCCTCACATGGTGGAAGGCGGGAGGGCAAGAGGGATGAACTCCCTCCATGGAGCCCTTTCATGAGGGCTCCTAAACCCATTCCTGAGGTAGGAGTCCTGATGGCCTAATCACTTCCTGTAGGCTCCACCTCTATCAACACTATCACATTGTCAACGCTGAATCTTGGAGGAGGCACAGTGAAACCACAGCACCAATCAAGTATGATCTTTCTCTCCTCAGAAACCCCCTCATATGTTTATACCTCCCATGCACTTTTATACATTTTGTCTCATGGTTTCTTCCTGTACAAATAAGGTGCTATAAATGGATAGCTATAGTTTCGGGTTTCATTTCAACAAAACACCCTTCCTAGTTTTTTGAACCCCAAGCGAAATATGAGGACAGGCCCCACCTTCCATTACAAAAGCTGAAAGGAGTGCATGATCCTTTTTCCAGTTTCTTGGCCACTCATGTGTGGGCACATATCTAGGCCCAGCCAACTGATGTCTCTTTATTAGAACTTGGAACCCGATGAAATGATGCAAAAGACCTGAAAGAATCAGAGATGATTCTGAGACATTGAGCAGAGATGCAGGTCCAGGAATGTGGCAGCAAGGGCCTAGGTTCAGCAGAGCCCAGCTACATGGTGACAAGTGTCAAATGGCAACATCCTAGTGGTGGCATCCCAAGATCTGCTTCCATCGAATGAACTTGGCTGTGCTGAGTTTCCCTCAGTTCTTACCTTGCTTCTCCAGCATCTTCAGTGATTTTGTGAACTATTCAATATCCTTTCATCGAATTCCTATTTTGCTTAAGTTGTCTAGAATTTGTTATTTTCAGTGAAAAATATAAACCAGTTATCCCCTCACATTAAAACACACTCCACTTAGGCATCTCCTGTGATCTCACTGGAGAAAAGTGTGGACGTTATTTGTAATTTGACTCAGAATGATAGGATTAGTTTGGTACTAGTAACAATGGAGATAAGTAACTAACTTTTTGTGAAACTTCTTCCTGGGGTGAAACAAAATCTATTGTGGAAACTCTTTCCAATCATCTCTGGAAATTTATTAAGTGACCTAGTATATAATGATAATTTACCATGATACTTGATAAAATAGTTTTGTGTGTTCAGAATAATTTCTTTTTTCTTTACCTTTGAAAACAATGCATCGATAGTTAATTTTCTCCTAAATTGTCTGTTTTTATTTCCATAAAAGGTATTTATTGAATATCTCCTTTTAATATAACTAGGCATTGTGTGATCAAAGTAAAATAAATATGTTCTTGTTTCTGGAATTACTAAAGCTTTGAAAATGGACTTATCGACCTCAAACCAATGGGACATATTCCCATGTGGCCTGCTCCCCTGTTAGGGTTCCCAGGGTAAGTGGCGATTCCTTTTCTGTCTTTTTAAAGATTTTAGAAATGCAGCTTCTGCTGTGGGCCACTAGGCGGAGTACTTCAGAGCAGGGTTTGTGGGAGTACAAAGCTAACTTCTGCTGCTTTTGCTTGATGCTTCTGAAGCTTCCTTGACTACTGTGGATGATAAGTAACTATTTTCTTCCACTTCTTTCTTTTTTCCCCTCACTCTTTGAAGTGAACTTGAAACATTTAGGAAGTTTGTTGATCAACATATACCGTGTTTATGAAAATCCGGCTAAGATAATATGGCAGGACTCCTTTGGTTATAAATAATAGAATTCAAACTCAAACTGGTCTAAGCCAAAAAAAAAATATTAATTTGTGGACTCGTATAATGGAAAAATCCAGGGTGTAGCTTCAGAATGGCTGAATGTAGGGACTCAGGACTTGGCTCCTCTCAGCTTCCTTGCTTTTTTCTTCCCCATTGATTTTATTCTCAGACAAGTTTTCCCTTTGTGCTGCAATGTGGCCATCATCACTCCTCCAGTTTACATTTCCTTAGTTCCACAGCCCCAGAATAAAGCAAAAACAGAAACACTTCTAATAGTTTCAATAAGAGACTAGAGATTGACTTTGGGTGTGAGGCTTGGATTTCATGTCCATTTCTAGTTTCATCTGTGCCAGGATTAGAATTATATTCATTGGCCAGGCCTGTGTCACGAGGTCATACAGGGTTTCCACTGTCCACACAGTGCCTTTGCAAGTATTAGAAAATGGCTCCCCTTTCTCCAGTTAGATGCAGCCCTGTATCAGGGCATGTGGCTTGGAGAAGAGCATGCAGGCTGGATTTCAACCCCCCTTTCTCCCTTAGCTGGGTTTCTTCCTTGAGTGAACAACATACTTGTTAGTAGCTGTCCTGTGCTTATTCCTGAAACTGGGGGTGAAATCAGCCACCACGCCAAAACTGAAGGATAGAAGATGGCTTCATCTAGGGTATCAGATAATGGCTAATAACAAAGGGAGGGGACAGTGGGTGCTGTGTGGGCAAAAGGAGCAAAAAATAATCCTAATCTGTCTAGACTTCATCTCAGAAGCCATATACAACCTTCTTCAATGGAAATATTTAACACTTCAGGAGTGCCAAGAAGGCTATGAGGAGCATATCTCTTAAGGACTTAAGTTAGGGCATTCTAGAATGTATGCTTTATGGATTTACCTTATAAATATATAACTGACTAATACACACAGAAAATATATTGCAGAGTAACATAGATGACAGAACTTGAAATACATGACATTCTACTGCAGTCTATCATTATTTTCTAACTTATCAAAAGACTCAGAGGATCTTTTTTTTCGTATTGTTAAATTTTTAACTAGAGCCCTATTTACTTGTGTCTTGAAAAACAGTATTTGCAAATATGTCTGAAGAGGAAACAGAAAGAAAATGATTCCAAAAAAGCTGATAACATTAAGACATCTGTTTATAGAAGATGTAAATTTGCAACCATTAAAAGCTTATAGGATCTACACAGAATGTGAAGAAAAATAAATGAAACCAAACCGCTACAAGAAATAACCAAACTAAGAAGACAGCAAGAGAGGGAAAAAAAAAAGAACTGCAAAACATATGAAAAACAATTAACCAAACGCAAGTTACTCCTTACCTATCAACAATGACTTTAAATGTGAAAGGATTAAACTATCTAATTAAAAGACATAGAGTGGCACAATGCATAAAAGATACTCATCAGTACATATTTATAAGGGAGTCACTTTAGATATAAAGATACATAGAGGCTCAAAGTGAAGGGATGGGAAAAGATACTGTACGCAAATGGTAAACAAAAAAGAGCAAGGGTATCTATATTTAGATCAGAAAAAATAGACTTGAAATAAAAAACTGTCACTAGAGACTAAGAATGTCATTATATAATGATAAAAGTTCAATCCAATGGGAAGATTGAAAATATATATCCACCCAACATTAGAACACCTAAATATATAAAGTTAATATCAACAAAGCTAAGGGGAGAAATCAGTAACACTAAAATAATAGTAGCCAACTTCAGTACCCCAAATTCAATAATGGATAGAACATCTAGGAGGGAATAAAAAAAGCGGAAACAGCTGACTTGAACAACACAGTAGATTAAACACTGACAGATACACAACTTTCCATCCAACAGCAGCAGAATATACATTCTTCTCAAGTGCACACAGAATCTTCTCTGAGATAGATCAAATCTTAGGTCACAAGGCATACTACAAATTTAAGAAGTTTGATATAATGCCAAGTATCTTCTCATTCCACAATGGAATAAAATTAGAAGTCAATAACAAAGAAAACAGAAACATTTACAAAAATGCAGAAACTAAATAACACATGCTTAAACAACCATTGGGTAAAAGAAGAAATCAAAAGGGAATTTTAAAAATATCTTGAGACAAACAAAAATGAACATACAACTCAACAAAACTTACAGGATTCAATAAAAGAAGTGCTAAGAGGGAAATGTTACAGTGATAAATACCTACATTAAAAAATAAGAAAGATCTAACTCGAACAACCTAACTTTACAAATAAACAATTAGAAAAAGAGAAACTAACTAAACCCAAAGTTAGCATAATGAAGTAAATAATAAAGATGAGAATATAAATAAAATAACTATAAAATAGAAAACAATAGAAAAATCAACAAAGTTAGAGTTGAATTTTTGGAAATACAAACAAAAATAACAGACCCTTAGCTACACTAAGAAAAAAAGAGAAACTCAAGTAAATATAATCAGAAATGAAAATGGAGACATTATAGGAAATGTACAGGAATACAAATGATTATAAAGGACAATTAAGCGATTATATGCCAATAAATTGGATAACCTAGAATAAATGGATAAATTCTTAGAAAGATGCAATCTACCAAAATGGAACAAAAAAGAAATAGAACAGACCAAAAGCAAGCAAAGAGATTTAATCAGTAATCAATAATTTCCCAACAAAGAAAAGCCCAGGTGCAGATGCTTTCATGGGCAACTTCTACCAAACATTCAAAGAAGAACTAACACCAAAACTTCTTAAACTCTTCAGAAAAAATAGAAGAGAGAATACTCTCAAACTCATTTCATGAGGCCGATGTTACCATGACTTAAAAGCTAGACGAAGACAACACAAGAAAAAATAATTACAGACCAGTATCCTTAACGAATATAGATGCAAAAATTCTCAGTAAAATACTAACTAGCAAACTGAATTCAAAAGCACATTGAAAAGGTCATACACCATGACCAATTGTAACTTATCTATGTGATACAAGGATGTTTCAATGTGTAAAAATTAATAATGTGATATACCACATTAACAGAATGAAAGATAAAAATAACATTCCAATGGATGCAGAAAACACATTTGACAAAATTCATTATACTTTCATGATAAAACTCTCAACAAAATAAGTATACAAGAAACTTACTTCAACACTGTAAAGGCTGTATATGAAAAACCTATATCTAATATTATAATCAATGGGGAAAAACTGAAAGCTTTTTCTTAATATCTGGAACAAGACAAGGATGTCTACTCTCATCACTCCTATTCAACATAGTACTGGAAATCCTAGCCAGAGCAATCAGGCAAGAGAAATAAAAGGCATCAAAATTGAAAGGAAAGATGTAGTTACCTCTGTTAACAGAAAACATGATTATTATACATTGAAAACTGTAAAGACTCCACAGAAAATGGTTACAAATAATATAGTCAGTCTTTCATATCTGCTGGGGATTTGTTTCAGGACCCCCTCAGATAACAAAATCTGTGATGATCAACTCCCTCACATAAAATCATGTACAGTTGGCCCTATGTATCCATGGGTACACATCTGTGGATTCAAACCACCACAGATGGAAAATGTGTACAAATTTTGTTCATAGTTGATTGAGTTCATGGTTGCAGAACACATGGATATGAAGGACTGACTATATAATAAATTTACTAAAGTTGTAGGATACACAATCGACATACAAAAATCATTGCTATTTCTAAACACTAACAATGAATTGTCTGAAAGGGAAATTTAAAAAACAGTATCAAATAAACTACTTTGGAACTAACTAACCAAACAAGTGAAAGACTTAAACACTACAAATTATAAAAGATTGATGACAGAAATTTAAGCCAAAGTAAATTGAAAGACAACCCATGGATTGAAAGAGTACTGTATTATTAAAGTGTCCATATTACTCAAAGCAATCTACACATTTAATATAATCCATATCAAAATCCCAATGGTATCTCTCACAGAAATAGAAAAAAAAAATCCTAAAATTCATATAGAATCACAAAAATCCCTGAGTGGCAGAAGCAATTTTGAGCAAGAACAAAGCTACAGGTATCACACTTCCTGACTTCAAATTAAATTATAAAGCTGTAGAAAGAAAAAACACTATGGTACTAGCATAAAAACAGACACATAAACCAGTGAAACAAAATAGAGAACCTAGGCATAACCCACACATTTGCAGCAATTGATCACCCTGGAAGGTGACAAGGAGACACTATAGGGAGAGGATATGCTCTTGACCAAATGGTGTTAGGAAAGCTGGATGTCTACATGTAAAAGAATGAAATCGGATCCCTAGCTCACGCCTTATGTAAAAATTAACTCAAAATGGATTAAACGTTTAAATGTAATCACTGAAACCATAAAACTCCTGGAAGAAGACAAGAGAAAACATTCTTGATATTGGTCTTGGCAATAATTTGTTTAGATATGATGCCAAAAGCACAGGCAACAAAGGCAAAATAGATAAATGAATTACATCGAACTAAAAAGCTTCTGCACAGCAAAGAAAACAACTAATGAAATGATAACGCAACCTATGAAATGGGGAAAATGTTTTAAACCATATCTCTTATAAGGAGTTCAAAAAGTAAGAAGGACACATACACATCAATTCCAAAATTATGAATAACCTAATTTTATTTTAAGGCAAAGAACCTAAATAAATACATCTCAAAAGAAGAAACTCAAATGGCTAACAGGTATATGAAAATGTTCGCAACATCTCTAAACTTCAGAGTAATGCAAATCAAAACCACAATGAGATATCATGTCACACCTGTTAAAATGGCTATTATCAAAAAGAGAAAAGATAAGTGTTGGTAAGAATGTGGAGAAAAGAAAACCATTATACACTATTGACGGGAATGCAAATTAGTAAAACACAGAAAACAGTATTGAGGTTCCTCCAAAGAAAATTGAAAATAGCACTGGCCTGGTGTGGTGTCTCACACCTGTATTCCCAGGATTTGGGGAAGTCAAGGCAGGAGGCCAGGAGCTCCAGACCAGCCTGGGTAACATAGCAAGACCCCATCTCTGAAAAAAAATTAAAATTAACCAGACATGGTGTTGTATACCTGTAGTCCCAGCTACTCAGGAGGCTGAGGTAGGAGGATCGCTTGAGCCCAGGAGTTCAAGGCTGCAGTGAGCTATGTTCTTGCCACTGGACTTTACCCTGGATGACAGAGTGAGACCCGGTTTCAAAAATAAAAACAAAGAACTACTACATAATCCAACAATTTCACTTCTGGATGTATGTCCAGTGAAATTGACATAAGAGTCTTAGAGAGGTGTCTGTCATCCCCTGTTCATTGCAGCATGACACACAATGACCAAAATATGAAAATAACCTAAGTGTCCTTTGGCAGAGGAACAGATGAATGGGTAAAGAAAATGTGACGTGTATACATAAAATGAAATATTATACAACCTTAAAAAAGAAGGAAATCCTTCTATTTGTGAAAACATGGATGGAGCTGGAAGATATTGCGCCAAGCAAAAATGCAAGGCACAGAGACAACTACTTCATGATCACACTTACATGAGGAATCTACAACAGTCAAATTCATAAAAACAGAGAATAGGACAGTGGTTGCCAGGGGCTCAGGGAGGGGAAACGGGGTGATGTTAATTAAATTGTGCAATGTTCAAGTTATAATAATTTCTGGAGATATAATGTACAACATGGAACAACACTGTATCATATTCTTGTGTTCTGCTAAAGGACTAGATCATAAATTAATTACTGTCAACACACACAATGGTAAATATGTAGAGATAATATGCTAATTTGCTTGATTGTGGTGATCATTTCAAAAAGTATAGAAATATCAAAACATTAAGTTACCTTAAATTTATACAATTTGTATATGTCATGTTATCATCATAAAGCTTTGTTAAGAAAGATTTAGTGAATCATGTCTACCACCTGGGAACTTTCTCATGACAGGGAGGGCTGGAGTAGGAAAATGGAATTTTGCAACAAGTATAGGGTGAGGGACATGGGAAATGATTGATCAAGTATTTAAGAAATGACCTGGGTGGAAGCTACATCAAAGGGTATGAGCTTTAGAGCATCAGTCCTCAAACTTTTTGGTTTCAGGAACACTTTACATTTTTAAAAGTTATTGAGGACCCCAAAGAGCATTTATTTATTTGGATTCTATCTATCTATATTTATCATGTTAAACATTAAAACTGAGAAATTAAAACAAATAAAATAATATATGTTTACAAATAAATCACATTTTTATTTAAAATTATCATTTTTAAGCAGTAAAGTTGGTGAGAACAGTGACGTTGTTTTATATTTTTAGGTATGTCTTTAAAGTCTGGTTTAATAGAAGAAAACTTGGTTCTCCTTTCTGCTTCTATGTTTAATTTCTTGTGACATCCCATGTCAGGTAGCCTCTGGGAAAGTCCAATTATACTTGTGAGAGAATAAAAGTGGAAAAGGTAAACAAAAACCTGTGTATTTTTATGAAAAGACTTTTGACCTTGCAGAGCCCCTGGAAGGGACTCAGGGACTTCTCAGGGTTCTCTGGCTCATGTGTTCACAGAGTAGAGGTTAAGTCCGCAAGAGAAAGCAGTGATTGGCTGTGGGAGGTCTTGCTGAGAGGTGGTAGAGAAGAGGTTGGATGTGTAGAAAGTATGGTCGTTCTTTTCATTTCTTTTCCCTTTCCTTTGGCCTCTTGTTGCTGGGATCTCCTCTTTAGATGATCGTATCATAAATTAGAAATAGCATTAATGAACATTCTTGATACTGCCTAATGAAAGTTTTTGTTTTGTCTTCCTGAGTCTTGATACATTTCAAGAAGTCTTCTATCTCATTTATTTTTCCCACCGAAATTTGGAATTTAGGAAGAGTCGATATAGCTATATTTAGATGATTTATCTCCCTGAAGACATTTTGGGATCATTTATACATCTCTATAAACAATGCTCTGATGTTCCTTTATTTTGTTTAGAGACTGGGTCTTGCCGTGTTGTCTGGAGCGGAGTGGCTCGATCGTAGCTCATAATACACAATACAATCAAACTCCTGTGCTCAAAGTGATCCTTCCACTCAGCCTCCACAGTAGCTAGGTCTGCAGGTGTGTGCCAGCACGTCTAGCTTTTGATTACTATTATTATTTTTGTAGAAATGAGGGTTTCATTATGCTGTCCAGGCTGGTCTTCCAACTCCTGGCCTCAAGCGATCCTCCTGCCTTCTGCCGTCTGAGGAGCTGAGATTACAGGTGTAAGCCACCGTGCTGGTCCTGATGTCATTTAAATACAAACATGATACTGTATTCCTTGTAGAAAGTGCTACATAAATATAATTTTTTTGAAATAGGGTCTTGCTGTGTCACCCAAGCTGGAAGGCAGTGGTATGATCACACTCACTGCAGCCTTGACCTGCTGGGCTTAAGTGATCCTCCCATCTCAGCCTTCCAAGTAGCTGGGACCTGAGGTATGAGCCAGGAAGCCCAGAGAATTTTTCAATTTTTGGTAAAGATCGGCGTGTCACTGTGTTGCCCAGGCTGGTCTTGAACTCTTGGGCTCAAGTTACCCTCCGCCCAGGTCTCCCAAAGTGCTGGGATTACAGGCCTGAACCACTGCACCGGGTCCTAAAAATTTATTCACTTTATTTGTTTGTCCACAAGGTGCTGCTGTTTCCCTTCTAATAACATGAGACCGCTCACTCAAGAACACCAAGAACACGACATTCTCTAAAAAAAATCATAGTAGTTACTTTTCCATAACTATTAAGTTTTCAAGATGTTATCAGGTTTATCTCATAGAAAGAATGTGTAAAATTTTTCATGTAGAAACATAATCTTTTAGCAATGAGTTAGTTAAAAAATTTGGCATTGTCAGAATGATTTCATTTTCCCTATAATTTTATTTATTATAGTTATATTTTTAGTGATATCAATTACTTTATAAAAACTCATTGCATTATATACCCAATGACTGTGAAATCGTCTGCTTTGAAGCACAGTGAAGTCATCAATCAGCATACTGGGTCTAACACGGTCCCTTTCATTTTAAGAAAGCTATTTACACTCCAATTTGCAAGTTGGATTTTACAAAAATTAAAACATTTAGAAAATATACTAACTATGATTGTTTTAAAAAGTAATGGTTTTTTATGTTAGGGAAATAAATTGAAGCTCTGTTTTGGAAAGTGCAGAAAACAAATCAGCATCTTTATAAATAGATTTTACTGCTGGTTTAGAAATTACCTTATGTGCTTTGTAGATGATGGAAAATGAAATCAGCTGCAGTTAGCAGTGTGCATGCATCGTACTTGCTGTGTCACTTTCAGAAAGATTATGGAACATTGGCAGGTCAGGATTCTCAAAATGATAAGTTCTAAGAAGAGGCTAAATGAAAAAGAATTTTAAAAGCAAGGCTAATTGTTTAATATATACATGGACGAGTTATGGGGAAATCCTGGACTGGGAGCTAGCAGATCTATGTTCTGACTTTTACTAAGTCATTGGCTGCTACAGCAGGACAAGCAAACATAACTGCCAAGGCTGCCTGGGAGTTGGGTTGATTGGCAATTGGCACAGGGAGAAAGGACAATTGACAGAATAATGGCCAAATAGGGTTTCATGTTCAGTGAAGCAGGACGTGCATTTGTATCCCAAGGGCAAAACTGACGCTAGAATCTGGGCCTCCTGGCTGAATCTGAGTCCACAGTCTGATGAGTAGGATGAAGTAGTCTCAGAAATCCAAGCCAGCCAGAACCCATGAGGTGTGCTCTGCAGATATTGGCTGGCGAGCTGCATTAAGACGTTTCATTCCATTGAGCAAATATTCCTTGATTGGTTAGGTTAGCATCCCACAAGAGCAAAGACAAATTCTTCAGAATTTGTCCATGAAGCTATAGTTCCAGAGCTTATATTTCAAGGGAGGAGGGAGGAAACAGCATCTCAGGATGGTAGGTGATTACAGCTAAACCGAATTCTGAAAATAAAAGGAACCCTATGTCTTTGTCTGCTCAGGCTGCTTCTACAAACAACTGTAGACTGAGTGGCTTAAACAGCACATACTGTTTCTCACAGTTGTGGGAATTCAAAGATTAAAATCTGGGCCAGCAGAACCAGTGTCTGGTGAAGGCCCTCTTACTGGTTTGCAGGTGTTCTTGTTGTATGTTCACATGGCTGAGAGAAGAGGGCTCTAGTCTCCTACTCTTCTTATTAGGATGCTAACCCCATTGTGGGAACTCCATCCTCATCAAAACCAAATTACTTCCCAAAGGTCCTCCTTCTAATGCCATTCTATTGTTAGAGTTTCAACATGTGCATTTGTTGATGCAAACATGCAGTGCACAGCATCTTATCTAATCAAGTCAGTTGTCCCTTGAATAAAATTTTAGCTCCTATAACAAGACTTCAAATTATGACTTGGTTGTTGCCAAAACTATCTATCTGGATTTGCTAGAAATCAAACATACTTGAATATTTCCTCTAAAGATTTTCTCATTCCTACCCTATTGTGTATATTTACAGAATTCTTAAATAATTACATACTCAAGGCTTCTATTAGCTCTGACGAGAGCTTCTATTAGCTTTGACTATTGCAAGCAGCTTTATAGCACTGTAGGTAAAAGCATGTGCTTTGAAATCATACAATAAATTTATTGAATGCTAAGCACTTTATATTCACTATTTAATTTTATCATCTTAATAACCTTCATTATTACCTCCATTAAACCCTATTTGTTGGCTAATTATATTATTCTGATTTTGCAAATCTAAATTTGAGAGGCTTTCCCAATGTCACATAAGTTAATAAGTGGCATAGCTGGGGTTTGAATTAAAGTCTACCTGATTCCAAGATCTATTTACCATTGTTCTACAGTATGTACTTTTTAGGTCCCTGAGAATGCTAACAGCCTTTCTTTTGAAATCTGCCTTATTTCTGGATAGCAGCTTTATTAATATGTGATTATGGCACCATATTTCAGGCAACAAAATTCTTTGAAATCTTTCATTTCCATAGTGAGATAAGGATCAGTTCTGTGGCATTGTCAGCCAGAAAACATCATTTGGAGACTATCTTGTACAAGAAGTAGAAGACACAGCTGGGGTCCTGCGGAGGACAGAAAGTTCACATCCATACCCCTTTCACTTCCTCCTCAAGGAGATGGACCTCTGTGGTTGGTCAAGCTTAAGGATCGTTTATGGGCCACAGCTAATGGTGAAATCTTCCTAACTCTAGGTGAAGATTAATGGGCAAGTTGGAGAGTTAAGGTAGCTTATGGCTGCTCCTTTTAGAAAAAGTCTGATCATTGCTCTCTTATTTGTGAAACCCCTCTGTTCCCCCAAATGCTTGGTAAGACATTCCTGAAGACCAATCCTGTGTCAGTAGACTTCATATCTACTCTCTTCTACCAATCATACAACTACAGACAAATAAGAAAAATAAAGCAAAGCTTAGACACACTCCCCTGGCACGGAGGTCACTCTCTGGCTGGCTGCTTTTCTCTACCATGGCGCCTCCTGGGCATTTGGCTCTTTCTTAGATCAAACAGAGACATGGGTTTGGGATTAAAGAGAAGTAGGTGAAAGGGGTCTCTGGCCTGTTTTGGCATTAGACCAAGTAAATAACAGAGTTCTGGCTTAAGCTCAGCTCTGTAGAGCTTTCTCTGTGTTTGGGGAAAATCTCCCATAGTAATGAAGAGGTATTTTACTGTGCTTTGTTTTCTGTACATATATCTCTTTCTTAGGTATGTTGTGAGGAGATTCATTCCCTGGACAAATGCCATCTTAATCACCTTCATTATTACCAATTTTATTTTATTTGCAGAATAAAAATTTAAATAGACATTCAGGAAACAAGTCTGGTGAGAGAATTATGTTATGAGGTTAATCTTTCAGCATCTGCCTTAGGGACATTGATTATTTTCCCCCTTGTTTTTCACCAAGCTCCAGGCTTGCTAAAGAATTGTGATGTGGTCTGAGGCAAACTTACTGATTGGCTAGTGGTAAGTTAAACCATAACCTGTAGAACCACTGGGAACCATTGCTTGTCACCGGCCAGAAATCCACTGTTTGGAGGTGTGCGCTGGGAAGGCTGTTCATACTTATTGATACATGCTTTGTTCTTGGCACTATGTTAAGTACTGGACACATGCAACAATTTGGAATATCGTTACATTCAACCCTCACAATAGTCTGATGTATATGTTATTAGTCCCGTATTAGAGACGAGTAAACAATATTAGAGGAAGAGAAGTACACAGCTGGAACCACACAGGCGGCACTGGGACTGGAAGCAGTTCCTTCTCACCCTGGACCACCATTTCTATGCTGTGTCTCCACTAGAGGATCCTTTCTTTGGTTCTTCTGAGTCATTAGTCATCAATAATTTATCTCCAAACTGTAGGTTTCACAGGAGGAGATGCCACTTGAAGGTTCATGGCTTAAAATGGAGATGGAATGTGGAACATGGTGGGAAGCACCAGGAGGGGTTTATTGATAAATTTCAAGTACTTTGTGGGGCTCTGAAAGACTGTCTTCAAATTCTTTGTCCTACTACCTCTTTCATATTCAAATGTCATATGGGTATATCTTTTGGGTTAAATTAAGGAAAATCTCCATGAAAAGTAAAAAACAAACAAACAAAAAAAACCCCAAAAGAATAGAAAGAGGTACTACGAAAAATCAACTCAGATTTCTCAGAGTTTTATTAACTCAAAGAAGCCTTGGTCCAGTTGGAAGAAGACAGAATTGATTTTGACAATCTCTAGCAAACGCTTTAGTGTTCAATGCACTCTAGACCATGAGTATAAAGAAGTTCACTTAATAGGTTCACCAAATTAGTTAGTTTGTGTAGTTCAAAGGGAAACAGACACACAGGACTGTGAGGTTTTGACAGCTGCGAAAGGCAAGTCTGGGTCCAGTGAGCCCAGGCAGGCCATGAAGGGGCAGGGCAGGAGAAGGACGGTGCTGGGAGGCTAGGGAACTGGCCACCTCTGTGCTGGCTGAAGATCACAAAAATCAACACAGCTTTCTGCAAATGCTGCCTGTGCCTGATGGAATTAAACAGAGCTCTGAGAAAGACAGCACCAGGGCCGAGGATGGGTCTTGAGCTGCCTACAGTCATCAATATCTTGGCCATTGGCTATGCACTCAGAGGCAATTTGACTAGCTTTCTTGATCCACACCAGAAAACTCGCTTTTGAAGTGGTTTGGAAAGCTCCAAAAGGGAAGTGCTTCATGCTATTGGTATTGCTGCCAAAAAGAAAAGATTCTGCTTTTCATCAGCTGCTGATTTTTGCTCTCTGTATTCCTCTAGCATCTGTTGCTGGTGGCCCTGGTTATGCTAACAAGTAGATAGTGTAGCTGCAGCAGCAGAACAGAAAAGACTCTCCTGGATTCTCAGTTCCAGGCTGGCCTAGGAGCAGGCTTAGGGATGTTTCAATGTTTGAATGCAGGTGAGCTGGAGATCTGTGGCAATTCTTTTGACATGAGGTTGGGCATTCTTTATAGCTTCCCCAGACACAGGAATTGGCAGGGCTTGAAAAAGAATCACTGGCAGGAGGTTCATTTTCTTCATTGCTACCTCTCCAGCCATAAAATTAAAAGCTTTTTACCTAAATCACGTTAGCCATCTCGTGGGAGTAGGAGATCATTTCCTTCAGAGTCTTTCCCGATTGGAGCCTAGTCCTAGGATGGTTTGAACGGTCCTTTTGAATTTGAAGAGCTTTCTAATTGATGCTTCTCATCCCCTCTCCGACCAGTCTTATTTGGTGTCATCTGCCTTTCCCCTTCCTCCCTACAAAACCTCAGAGTCTTGAAACAAAAATCTTTGTATTGTAAACTTCATCCTGCTAATTTCATCAATTCAAACGAACCTTCCCTTGTTTGAGTTTCCTCCAACTGTGTGACTTAGGGCTGTTGAACTCTTTCAAATACACAGGAAAATGGAAACCTCTTTTTGTGTCTAGTGATTGTATAATAAAACATTTTCAGATGCTAATCACATGCTTTGTGCTTTGTTAATGAATTCCAAGGATATTCTTATTTGAAAGGTTTAAAAATATAATAACTGTCATTATATCTAATTCTGTCTACATTTCTGGTGTGAAATGAGAAGTCAGTAGCCCTGCCATCTACACAGTGCATGGTTCTACCAGCTATTTCTGTGTCACTTCAAGCAAATCACTTCTTTTCTGCCTTTTCTTTCTTTTTATGTAAAATGTGGATAACTATCTGTCTCACTGAATTCATAGAGTGACTGTATTATGTACAACAAAATTTATTGAAAAGCGTAAAGCTCTATAATTAGGTAGAATGTTACCTGTGATTTATAAGCTTTTTAAATCCTGGGGCCAGTGGAGGAAGTATTCCTCTTACTGTAAAAGGACATTCCTCTTACTGTAAAAGGACATCCCTCTAATAATCTCCCTTCTTTTCCTGACTTTTCAGGGATTCTGTTCATTGCTTTTCCATTTGTCATCTGCATCTTCATTCTCTCTCCTTCTTGATGCATTTGGTCAGCATTTAAATATAAATTTTTCATTTAAAAAATCTTCTATCTTGGAGGAACCTTGATTTTGACTCTGTGTGTCTTTCTAGCTATCAAGCCATCTCCTCCTTTCTTGGCAAATTTTTCTCAAGGATTTTCCACATTTACTATCTCCTTTTGCTCATTTTCCTTTCACTCTTTATTCAGGTCAGTTTGGCTTTCACTTTCATCAAGCCTATGAAACTGCTCGTGCTAAGGTCACCGTATAAGAGTGCTAGGGGCTTCCATCACAAGCTGCCACAGATTGAGTGGTTTATCTTCTCACAGCTCTGAAGACTGGAAATCCAGGATGGAATGTCAGCAGGTTTGCCTTCTTCTGAGAACTGCTGCCTTGCAGATGCCTCCCTTCCTGCTGTGTCCTCAGGCTGTGTTGCCTGTGTCTCAATCTCTTTTTACATGGACACCTGCCATATTGGTTTAGGGTCCACCCATATGGCTTCATTGGACCTCACTTACCTCTTTGAATGCCTTCTCTAAATCAGTCCCTCTGAGGCAGTGGGGATCAGCTCTTCAACATAGGAATCTGGGGGGACACAATTCAGCACCCCCAGAATTGGTGATTCCTAAACATCATGAACACTATTCCTCTTTCTCTCTTTCTTTCCCTTTCTTTCTTTCTTTCTTTCTTTCTTTTTCTTTCTTTCTTCTCTCTCTCTTTCTTTCCTCTTTCTTTCTTTCTCCCTTCCTTCCTTCCCTTTCCTTTCCTTTCCTCGCTCTCCCTTCATTTTTTCCTTCCCTTTCCTTTCCTTTCCTTTCCTTTCCCTTCCCTTCCTTTCCTTGCTCTCCCTTCCTTCTTTCCTTTCCTCGCTCTTCCTTCTTTCTTTCTTTCCTTCCTTCTCTTTCTCCCTTCCTTCCATTTATTTACTTTTGTTTATATAAAATTTATGGGATACATGTGCAATTTTGTTCCATGCATAGTGGTCAGTTCAAAGCTATTAGGATATCCATCACCCAAGTAACATATATTGTACATTTTATGTAATATATAAGTCCAATGGGGTCTCAGGAACATTCAGTAGAGTAGACCCCTGACCTCTTCCTCTAGCTTGAACTATTTTCTTATCAGCTTCTCCCTCTTTGCCCAAACTTTAAATGTTGAAGTTCCTAAATCCTGGGTCCTCTTCTGTTCTTATCCCATACTAGGCTTGTCCAACCCATGGTCTGTGGGCCATGTGTGGCCCAGGACAGCTTTGAATGCAGCCCAACACAAATTTGTAAACATTCTTCAAGCATTATAAGATATTTTATGATTTTTTTTAGCTCATCAGCTATTGTTAATATTAGTATATTTTATGTGTGGCCCAAGACAATTCTTCTTATTCGAATGTAGCCAGGGAAGCCAAAAGATTGGACACCCCTGCCTACACAGACTCTAGACAAGGTTTTATTAATTACTATGGCTTTAGATACATTTATATGCATATGACTCCTACAGACCTCTCCTCCCAAGCTCCAAAACATTATGTGCACCTGCCATCTTGAAATCTCCACTGGGATTTTCACAGGCATGCCTAAAATCAGAATTCAAAACTCGAGTTCTGCCCCCACATCTATGCCACTTCCTCAATCATTTCCCTTTTGTTAGTTTATTTCTTTTTCAGCCTTACCATTCTTCATAAAAATTATCTCCATTTACCCATTTGCTTCTTCCAGAAAGCATCATCATCCTTGATGCTTTCTTCTTCCTGCAACCCCCCCTACCATCACAATTTGCAACCAATTACTGTTATTTCACCTGCAAAATATGTGCTAAAATTATCCGCTTCTGTCATCTGCATCTTTCACCTGGTCTGCAAACATATACTCCTCTTTCCAACTTTTTGCCTCTCCAATACCTTCTCTATGGCACACCCAGAGAGGTTCTTCAAAAATTTCAATTACATCATGTCTCTCCTTCGTTAAAAAATATTTAATGATTTTCTACCCATGAAATAATTCTGCTAGACTGCAAGCTCTAAAGATGCAAGGACTAGGTTTGCCTTATTTGTTTTTGTTTATGCAGAGCCTAGCCTTGCATGTAGTAGGAACTTAACACATTGACCTAGATCTTGTCCACCTTCTCAGCCTCACCTCTCATGGAAGCACTCATAGACCTCAGTCCAGTTACTCTTTTCTCAGATCCCTGAGCTGGCCTGGTCCAGGGCTGCCTGGGCCGTGATGCGTTCACTCCTGATTTGTTGGCTGGTATCTGCTTATATTCTTGCTACTATAACTGATGTCCAAGGAAGTCACATAGGCATCCCTGGGAGCTTGCTAGAGCTCAGGCACCACCCTAGATCCAATGAATCAGAATCTGCATGTTGACAAGGTCCCCAGGTGGTTCATATGTACATTCAAGTTTACGGTGCTTTGCTCTGGATCCCAGCCTGAGTGTTAGTTCTTTAAAGAGACCTTTCCCAACTGGCCAAATCTTATCAAGTCATGTGATGGATTCACCCACACGGTCTGTGATACAGAAGGGAAAAGAAGTTGAGACCTATTGATCAGAAGCTGCTCACTTTAGAGTTTTTCCTAAGGGTGATCCTATCAAAAGTTCTGGATTTTGTAGAGAAGCATACAAAGTATGTGAATAGTTTGATTTGAGCACATTGAAAATTGCCAGTTTTCTTTGCTTTAACCAATGTTTGCTTTCCCTCTGGAAATCCCTTGTTACAGGTCCTTAGTTTTAGTTTGCCACATTATGACACGATGGGAATAATGCACAGCAGTGATCCTCAGTTGGTTTGGGTTTTCAATACATAATTGATCCATGGTTGTGGCATGCATTGTAGCATGTCCAACTAGAATACCTATTCTTTCAATTACTTTCATTACTTTCAATGGCAAAACCACAATTACTTTTGCACTAACCTGATAGCTTTGCTACAAGTCAGTTGTTCAGTTTTCTTTTTTTGTTGCTGTTTGTTTTTATTTTTGCAAACACTTTAGATACTGCATAGTGGATGGATTAGTTTGTGGTTCCTGGGATCTTCTGTGTATTCTGTTGAAGCTCAATAATCACATTACTGCGGACCTCCAAAATTTTACAAAGGACTGCACAGTGAGTATTCAGCCGATAAACTAAACCACAGCTTAATACTGTGAGATGAAATAAAGCACACCAATTAAAAGTAAACACTGTTTAAACCTACCTCAATGAATTTCTAAAGTGTCATACATTTATTATATTCTCTACTTGTAAAATATTTTGTTGTGTGTATTGCCAAGTATTTCAGGATTTTATGGGTATAATGTATTCTATTAATTTAACTGGAAAACTTGTAGTTATTCAACAAACAAACTAAAAGTGTTGGCAGAGATGTAATTTTAAAGCACAATCCCACTCATTCGTTCAGTGTTACAGCTGCTCCTTGTTTGTTTAATAATAGAACTGATGAGTAGTTAATTTGAGAGGAAAGCTGGTGCAGGTGTAGTGCTATTTGGATGTCATGGAGGACACATGTGACATCTGCAGCTAGCTATATGGTAAAAGCAAAACAGAAGTTAAAATCAGCCCTGTGTCAAATCTGCATAGTTTTAGGCTTCAGGGAGTGTCTCTGTATGTTGAGGCAGGAAGTTTAGTAGAATTCCAAGGAAGTAAGAGAGGAACAAACATTTGTAGATTTTGCCTTCTATGGGGGAACTCATTCAATCATCAGGAGAACTCTTCAATAGGTTTTATTTGCTCCGGTTTACCTAGATGAAAAATTGAGACCCAGAATCCATGCTTTTCTTTCCTGGTTACACATTAGAATCACCAATGTGACATTAAAACACACACACACACACACACACACACACACACACACACACACTGCACACCCATTAGGATGGCTGCTATCAAAAAAGAAAAAACAAAAAAATCAGGGGCCAGGCACGCTGGTTCACACCTGTAATCCCAGCCCTTTGGGATCACCTGAGGTCAGGAGTTTGACAGCAGCCTGGCCAACATGGTGAAATCTCATCTGTACCAAAAAATAAAATAAAATAAAACAAAAAACAACACACACACACACAATTAGTCGGGCATGGGGGCACACATGTGTAATCTCAGCTAATTGAGAGGCTGAGGCACGAGAATCGCTTGAACCTGGGAGGCGGAGGTTGCAGTGAGCCGAGATCACGCCACTGCACTGCAGCCTGGAGACAGAAGGAGACTCGGCCTCAAAACAAATCAAAACAAAAACACCCAGAAAATAACAAGTGCTGACAAGGATGTGGAAAAATTGTAACTCTTGTGCATTGAGGGTGGGTATGAAAAATAGTACATCAGCTGTGGAAAACATACCATTCCTCAAAAATTTAGACATAGAATTACCATATGATTCAGTAATCCCACTCACATCTATAAATCTCTATATCTGTATCTTTATCTACCTATCTCTATCTTCAAAAGAATGGAAAGCAGTTACTCAGATACTTGTACACCTGTGTTCTCTCCCCACCCCCCCTTTTTTTTTTAATAAATGGGCTCTCACTGTGTTTCCCAGGCCGGAGTGCAGGGGCTGTTTATAGGCACGACCCCCTGCTGCGGGGCTGTCCACCGGCATGAACCCCTGCTGCGAGGCTGTTTATAGGCATGATCCCCCTGCTGCGGAGCTGTCCACAGGCACGGACCCCTGCTGCAGGGCTGTCCACAGGCACGACCCACTGCTGCGGGGCTGTCCACAGGCACGACCCCCTGCTGCGGGGCTGTCCACAGGCATGACCCCCTGCTGAGGGGCTGTCCACAGGCACGATTTCCCTGCTGCGGGGCTGTCCACAGGCAGGATCTCCCTGCTGCGGGGCTGTCCACAGGCATGACCCCCTGCTGGTCAAACTGGGAGTTGTGCCCTGCTTTGTCTCCAATCCATGCCGGTTCGCCCCTCCTTAGGCAACCTGGTAGTCCCTTATCCCATGAGGTCACTGTACTAATGTCTAATTTCGTGCAGATGTCTGATCAACACTGCACACTGCAGCTCAGGACCCCTGGGCTCAAGTGATCTGAGTAGCAGGAACTACAGGCGCATGCCACCACACCTGCCTGCTACACCTGTGTTCATTGCAGCATTACAGCAGCCTTATTTACAGGAACCACAAAATGGAAACAACCTAAAAAGTCTATTGAGGGATAGATGGATAAACAAAATGTGGTATAGATGTAAAATGGAATATTAGTGATCTTTGAAAAGGGAGGGAATTCTGATACTTGCTACCACATAGATAAAAACATTATGCTAAGTGAGACATCAAACAAAGACTACCTGATTCCATCTATATGAAGAACCTGGAACAGGCAAATTAATAGAGACACAAAGTAGAATAGAGGTTTTCAGGAATGGCAGGAGGTGGAAATGGGCGAGGTTAGTGTCTAATGGGCACAGAGTTCCTATCTGGGATGATAGAATGTTTCGGAAATGGATAGTGGTGATGACTGCACAGCATTGTGAATGTAGCTAATGACGTTGAATTCTTTACCAGAAAACAAAAACAAAAACAGAAACACATTGCTTAAGCTTCTCAGTCCGACAGGTGACGTGCTTGGTGTGAGCTGGGGCCTAAGCCCAGGCTGCCCTCGCCAGAGCTGCTTCAAGACCCCTCTTGGTTGTACTTAGGCCTGATTGCTCTGGAGAGTCCCATACATGAAAGCCAGCTCTGGTTCTATCTCTTCTCACTCCAGTCCTCCCTGCCCCCACCATCCCCCAGCTGGGCATTATGAGAAAAGCAAGATGACTATGAGTTTTTTGATTATTTATATGACCAAATAATCTCAAGGACTATTGCTAACTAACCCATGGGACTCCCACTACCTTCATGAGGCTCGGATGAGGTGAAGGGTCCCTAAAATCGTGCCAACTAGTCAGGAACTCAGTTGTCAATAATTTCTTTATTTGTGATACAAGCAGGCGTGGGGAAAGAGAAATGAACAGACTTGGAAGCTTCTCCGAGGCCCTAGAGAAGACCTCTGGGTTCCGAACACCAGACACCAGGAGTAAGGAGGGTAGTTGATGATTTCCCACTCTTTCTCCAGCCCCTGCTCCTCTGTTTCTCCCCTTCACCCACTGCAGCTTCCTCAGGTCCTGGGTCCCGCGCCATCATCTCTTCGAATGACCTCCCTTCTATTCCTGTTAATAAAGGAGCATCAGCTAAGTGAATATGGTGATTTGCATACACTTACATTGATTCAGAAATTGTGTTTAATTCCACACAAGAAAAAGAATGTGGATCTTTTTCACTGGGAAAAAAAGTCGCCATGTATCATCTTAATCATGTTTTCCTGGGATATAATCTATACGTGACGCCCATTTAAGCCTTCATTGCATCTATGCACGTGGTTTGCTTTCCTCTTGTGTGAAATAGTGTTGGACCACACGGGTTTGGGCCACAGCCCAGGAAGACACAATCCTGAACGTCATAATCCCAAATGTTGAAGTCCCATAAGATCTAAATCTGTACAGTCTAAAATCCTGAAAATTACAATCCTAAAAAAACAAAATTCTCAAAATACAATTCTGGAAAAAAATTATTAACACATTCTTTAAGAAGCATTTATTGGGCAGCACATGGTGGCTCATGCCTTTAATCCCAGCACCTTTGGAGGCCGAGGCGGGTGGATCACAAAGTCAGGAGATGGAGACCATCCTGGCTAACACGGTGAAACCCCATCTTTACTAAAAATACAAAAAATTAGCCAGGCATCATGACGGGTGCCAGTAGTCCCAGCTACTCGGGAGGCTGAGGCAGGAGAATCGCTTGGACCCAGGAGGTGGAGGTTACAGTGAGCCGCAATCGCACCACTGCACTCCAGCCTGGGCGACAGAGTGAGACTCTGTCTAACAACAAAAACAAAAAACATTTATTTATATTTTTAAGATGGAATTTATTTGAGAAACTTATAAAAACACAACAGAACCCTTCCTAGGCCACTTTACACAATCAATAGGCAATAATAACATGCATATATTTGCAAGCGTAAAACTCAGGTATGCTAACGATAGTCTCACGGGTATAATGGTAATGAGCAGATGAGTTGTATTTGTAAAGAAATGGGTCAAAAAGCAAAATGTATAAAAGCGTGGTTGGTAACTGGGTGAACTCAGCTTTATAACTTAGGTCATCTGGAATACTGTGACAGACAACCTAAGTCTTTTGACCAGATTCATCAAAAGCTGGGATGGGTCACCATGTAATATTCAGTCAAAGAGCTGAGATCCTAAGGAATTTTCTCTTTCCCAAATGCAAATGTGCAAAAGGATATCTTCTCATTTATTGAGGAAATTTTAATGTTTTTATGTACATGTACAATGCTTACACACAAAGTCAGTGTTGTGATAATACACTGTTGTGGAGTCAAATTTGCAAAAAAAAAAAAAAAATGCATAAAACAAATTAGAACTCTCTAAAAGTCTTTGCAAAATTTATACCTCCAGTATTGGAAATGATACTAAGATGAAATACATAGCATAGCAAGTTGTAAAAAATAATGCTGACAATTTAAAATAGTGGAAAAAATGGAAAAAGAAACACTAAAAAGAAAATTGACATATAAAAAGTATATTACATGGATAGATTATGAGCAATTGCAGAGTTCATCATAGCTCGCTGACTTTCATGATCATTAACTATATTTTGAAGTCTTGCATCACGATGAATTGTTGCCTTTTTTGTTTTTAGGATTTGACTCTCCTCATAAAATACATTCACATTCATTTTCTACGTGGCACTGCTCTTTTTGAAATTCTTCTGTAATTTGATACACACTGACATGAGCATTTCCTGTTACATTTTCCAATCTTCTATGCCTTTCTTGTCTATTGTTTTGAGTATGTGGAAATCCATTTTGCAGGCCCTCATATACAGGCCACTCATTTGGCAGAAACAATACTCTTGATTGAACAGCAACACCATTGCCTAAATGACTCTTATCCTACCTTGCACATCATTATTTTCAAACCAGTATGTAATATTTCTGGCTTCTTCAGGCAATTGTGGTTTTAATTTATCAAAAGCTCCTGGAATTTTATCAGGTGGAAGGAATGCCAATACAGACAAATGACACATTTTTAAACTAAAATTTTCATCATTGCCATATGGCCTGGCCAATCCACTCACCTGAATTTTCTGGCAAATGAGCTGGGCTGAATGGAAGATATAAATTTTACTGGTAACAACTTGCAATTCACTTTTAGAAGCTTTGATCACACCTAATTAAAAACTTGTCATTATAATTTGGGGATCCAATTGAAATCTATTTTCTTCTGCAAAGCCATCCAAATCTTCAAATAAGCTTTTATAAAGTACTTCACTTTTTCCAGTTATTAAACCATAAACGTGCAGTTTAAATTACAGAATTTTGTAATCCAATGGGGGCATAAACTGCATAAAGTCGATTTAAAAAACCCACTGGGGACAGTTTTGAAAGTGCCGTTCATCAGCCAAAGTGAAACATGCACCAGTTTTGTTATGTTAAACAAATATGTTTATCTTTTTTGACAGTCAAATCCCTAATCAAGAATAGTTCATGATTTAATATATCTTGTAGCACTGGAGGAAGCTCTGTGCCAGAAGGTGTCTGGCTCAGAAGGCCACTGAATTTGTTGAACTATTTTTATTATCTGACAAAAGGCATTTTGTGAAGGCAAGCATGGTGCTACGTGTAGAGGTGCTTGGTACATGATTACATAATTTGGCAGACAAGATTTTGTTCATTTTTAACTTTCATTTTAACTTCTTCTGTGATATTCAAGACATTCAAAACAGTGACAGCAGATCTTCCCCACCTAGTCTGCTCAGACCCACACACTGATCTCTTCTGAGAAAACCATCACAGTCATACCCAAAATAATGCTTTCCCAGCTTTCCAGGGATTCCTTAATCCAGTCAAGTTGACACCTGAAATTAAGTCTGCAAGTCCACCCCTTGTAGATGTGGCACCCATATGGACCTCCTTAAACCATACATAATTTCCAAATAAAAAGAAAACAAAGCAACAGTTGTACCTAACATGATGCAACTAACGTGGTACAACTCTCCTGTGATTGTGATTTTCTGGATTTTAGATGTTAAGAATTTAGACTTTAGGACTGGGCATGGTGGCTCATGCCTGTATTCCCAGCACTTTGGGAGGCCAAATCAGGAGGATCACTTGAGCCCAGGAGTTTGAAATCAGCCGGGGCAATAAAGTGAGACCCCATGATATGGTTTGGCTGTGTCTCCAACCAAATCTCATCTTGAATTGTAGTTCTCATAATCCTCACATATCATGATGGGGACCCAGGGAGAGGTAATTGAATCATGGAGGCAGTTACCCCCATGCTCTTCTCATGATAGTGAGTGAGTTCTCACAAGATCTGATGGTTTTATAAGGAGCTTTTCCCCCTTTGCTTGCGCTTCTCCTTCCTGCCACCTCGTGAAGAAGGTGACTTGCTTCCCCTTCACATTCTACCATGCTTGAAAGTTTCCTGAGGCCTCCCCAGCTATGATGAACTGTGAGTCAATTAAACCTCTTTCCTTTATAAATTACCCAAGCTTGGTTATGTCTTTATTAGCAGCATGAGAATGGACTGATACAGTAAATTGGTACTGAGGTAGTGGGGCGTTGCTATAAGGATATCTAAAAATGTGGAAGTGAATTTGGAACTGGGTAACAGGCAGAGGTTGAACAGTTTGCAGGGTTCGGAAGAAGACAGAAAAATGTGAGGAAGTTTGGAACTTCCTAGAGACTTGCAGAATGGTTTTGAGGAAAATGCTGATAGTGACATGGACAATGAAGTCCAGGCTGAGGTGGTCTCATATGGAGATGAAGAACTCGTTGGGAACTGGAGTAAAGGTGACTCTTGCTATGCAAAGAGACTGATGGCATTTTGCCCCTGCCCTAGAAATCTGTGGAACTTTAAACTTGAGAGACATAGTTTAGGGTATCTGGCAGAAGAAATTCCTAAGTAGCAAAGTGTTCAAGAGGAAGCAAAGCATAAAAGTTTTAAAAATTTTGCAGCTTGATGATGAGATAGAAAAGGAAAACCCATTTTCTGGAGAGAAATTCAAGCCAGCTGCAGAAATTTGCATAAGTAAAGAGGAGCTGAATATTAATCACCAAGACAATGGGAAAATGTCTTCAGGGCATGTCAGAGACCTTCAAGGCAACTCAAACCATCACAGGCCAGGAGGCCTAGGAGGAAAAAATGGTTTCATGGGCCCAGTGCAGGGACTTGCTGCTCTGTGCAGTCTCAGGACTTGGTTCCCTGTGTCCCAATCATGGCTAAAGGGCCAATGTACAGCTCAGGCCATGGCTTCAGAGGGTAAAGGCCCCAAGCCTTGGCAGCTTACATGAGGCGTCGGGCCTGCGGGTGCACAGAAGTCAAGAATTGAGGTTTGGGAATCTACGCCTAAATTTCAGAGGATGCATGGAAACGCGTGGGTGTTCAGGCACAAATTTGTGACAGGGACGGAGCCCTCATGGGGAACCTCTGCTAGGGCAGTGACTGCAGAAGGGAAATGCGGGGTCAGAGCCCCCACACAGTCCCCACTGGGGCACTGCCTAATGGAGCTGAGAGAAGAGGGCCACCATCCTCCAGACTCCAGAATGGTGGACACACTGACAGCTTGCACCGTATTGTCTGGAAAAGCCACAGACACTCAGCACCAGCCTGTGAAAGCAGCCAGGAGGAGGGCTGTACCCTGCAAATCAACAGGGGTGGAGCTGCCCAAGGCCATGAGAGCCCACCTCTTGCTTCAGTGTGACCTGGATGTGAGACACGAAGTCAAAGGAAATCATTACAGAGCTTCAAGATTTGACTGACCCATTGAATTTTGGACTTGCATGGGGCCTGCAATCCCTTCATTTTGGCCAATTTCTCCCATTTGGAACAGGTGTATTTACCCAATGCCTATATCTTCATTGAATCTATGAAGTAACTAACTTGATTTTGATTTTACAGGCTCATAGGAAGAAGGGCCTTGCCTTGTCTAAGATAAGACTTTGGACTTGGACATTTGGGTTAATGCTGGAATGAGCTAAGACTTTGGGGGACTGTTAGAAAGGCATGATCATGTTTTAAAATGTAAGGACATGAGATTTGGAAGGGGCTGGGGGCAGAATGATATGGTTTGGCTGTGTCCCCACCCAAATCTCACCTTGAATTGTAGTTTCCACAATCCCTACATGTTGTGGGAGTAACCCAGTTGGAGGTAATTGAATCATGGGGGTGGTTACCCCATGCTGGTCTCATGACAGTGAGTGATACCTGAAGGTTTTATAAGGGGCTTTTCCCCTTTCGCTCAGCACCTCCTGCTGCCTTGTGAAGAAGGTGCCTTGATTCTTGTTTGCATTCACCATGATTCTAAGTTTTCTGAAGCCTTCCCAGCCATGCTGAACTGTGAGTCAATTAAACCTCTTTCTTTTATAAATTACCCAGGCTCGTGTATGTCTTTATTGGGAGCATGAGAATTAACCAATTCACTCTGTCTCTATTAAAAAAAAAAGAATTTAGACCTTAGGAATTTTGATCTTTCAGGATTTCAACATTCAGGGTTATGGTGTTTGTCACTGGGTCTTCTGGGATTATGATCCTCACCTAGATTAACAGCCTCACAGCTCTCTTCAAACTATGACCCTATTCTCCCACTACCTCCTGAGTTCAGCCTCTTTCTTCAACTTGGCTAAGCCTGCCTTTCTTTTCCTATCTGTCTGCTTTCTTCCCTCTGATTGATCCAAAGTAAAATTTGACTTTTTTTTCATTCCAACAACTCCATCTTCTATCACATATCTCCTTTCATGAAGTTGGCCCCGATAATGTTTCTGTTAACAACAGTATAATATAGACAATATTGCATATAGTTAAAGTACGTATTTTATTTATTTGGTGGCAGCATTCTAATAAGAAATTAAAACTATTTCTTTTAAAATCATAATTTAATCACCAGGCAGAGCAAGTAAAGAGAAATAAGTTCCAGAATCTCACATCTGTCAAAAGTAAATGCTGATTTTTATTGAGGACTTCCTTATTTCTGCCACCAGTTGACTCTCATACAGCTTGTTCCCAATAGAATCTAGTGTGGAATTGGCAAATGGGGTGTCATACATGCAGCACTCTACTGGAGCTGATAATTAAGTACCCAGAAATTTTGTGAAGTGTTTGTCAAACCATCAGTAGAAATATTTACACAATGGAAATTAGCAAATGCTACAAATCTGGGCTTCTCCCCACCCAACCAATAGGTTTACTAGCATACAACTTTTATTCATCCTGTAAACGTTCAGAATTTCTATAAATATTCATAGACTCTCCTATACTCAGTGTCTCAGAATAACTCAAAGTTCTAACAATAGCCAGTGAGGCTGAGTGTGAGTTGACCCACCCCAGTCCCTCTCTCTGACCTGTCTCCTGTTAGCCTTCTGACTCCCAGTATTCTCTACTTCATGCACATGGGCTACGCACCCTGCTGTTTGCCTGCCTTTTCTTCTTCGAGTGCTCTTCCCCAGATATCTGCATAGCTGGTGCCCTCACCTCCTTGGAATCTTTGTTCAAATGTTATCTTCTCTGTGAGACCTTCTATATAAGTTTTCTATGATTGCTGGAATAAATTAGCACACCTCTAGTAGCCTAAGAGAACACACACTCTCTCTAGGGGAGAGAGAACACTTTCTTACCTTCTCCAGCTTTGAAAGGATGCCTGCATCCCTTGGCCCCTGGCCCCCTTCCAGGCAGCAACCACATCATTCTGACCCTAGCTGTCATGCGTCTTGCCTCAGACTCTCCTGCCTCCCTCTTTTGCTTTTAAGTACTCTTGTGATGACATTGGGCCAACCTGGGTAATCCAGAATAATCTCCTCATCTCATGATCCATAACTTCATCACATCCACAGGTCCTTTTTGCCATATAGGGATATGGACATGTAGAAAGGCCATTCTTCTGCCTATTACTCCCTCCTTGAGCATTCTAACTACCTTCACATCTACCCGCTCCCAGCATTCCTGAGCTCCCTTCCACACTTAATTTTTCTCTGTGCCACTTATTACCTTCTGGCATATTATATATTTTCCATAGTTATTTTATTAATGATCTGTCTTTTCTCACTGGAATATAATTTGCATGAGGGTAAACATTTTTGTTTTAAATCATTGCCATATTTTCATTATGTTGAACAGTGCCTTGCTCTTAGTAAAGATTCAAGAAATATATAAGTTTTGGCTGAATAAATTAGGTTGAGAAGTTTGGGGGAAAATCCTGGCATGATACAGAAGATGGTTCCCAGTGATGGGAAAGGGCCATGTGGTGGGGCCTCTACAGGAAGCTGGGATGCTCCAGAGGTCCCCCAGGGCAGAGCTGCTTTGCTCACGTTGAACTCTTTGCCCAAGCTCTGATTTCTAATGTTTTCTTTCATATTTGTTTTTGCTCTGCCTTTTTTTAATTAATTTTTTATAGAGATGAGGTTTTACTATATTTCTCAGGCTGGTATCAAACTCATGAGCTCAAGCAATCTTCCCACCTTGGCCTCCCAAAGTGTTATTACTGCAGGTGCAAGCCACCACACCCGGCCTGCTTTTGCTCTTTCTTTGAAATATACTCAAAATGCTTATATTGGTTTCTAACTATAGATCATGAACTCCTGAAGCAAAGTAACCACTTTGTTCTTCATTATTTCTTTCACTCTTCTACTCTGCGCGGTGCCAGATATTGGATATGTAGGTGCCTAACCTTTGCTTTTCTGATTTCTTACATTTTATTTCATAAAAATCAGCCTAACCACGTTGTAGAGAGGGATGATTTCCTTCCTTTGTTTTGAAAATTTGTGCATGCCCAATGCTTACATTGTGCGGTTTAATGTTGCTTCAGTTTTTTTTTTTTTGTTTGTTTGTTTCTATTTTTGCCAGACTTCCGAAACTCTTAAAACTTGTTTGTGGTCAGCATAGCAAGGAACATGCTTTAGCTTTGAACAACTCTTTAACATGAAAAAATGCACTGACATTGTTTTTAATGTAACATAGGCTAGAATTTTTCTATGTTTGCCCATGCTGAGAATTGTCCCACCCGGCTGATGTGTTCACCTCTTCAGCTTGGATCCTGTTGTGTATTTATTTACAAACATCAATTGCCTTCAAGCCATCATTTCTGCTGTATGTTTTGCAGCCTTCTATAGTAGATACACAACAGATAATGTGAAGAGAAAAGACATAAGAGGAGGAAGGTAATGAGAGACTTTGTCAAGGTTGTAAACTTCTTGGTTTCTTTGAAGAATTTGTTGCCTTTCTAATAAGACAGTAAAGCAGAATTTTGTTACTGACAGCCTAAAACCACTTAATCTCAGGTGAATGCATCACTTGCCAAGCTGTTGGAATGCTATTTGTGTTTTGTTGCACGATTTTTTGGTTGTTTATTTGGTTGGCTTTTTGGAAGACAAATTTGGAAAGGGGACCTACACAGAAGTGCTGACCCACCCACATTCCCTTATTATCATTACAGACAAGAAGGAATTAGCAGAGCTAAGAATGGAGTGAAGAAAGGCAGTGTGATAAGCACCAGCAAAGAGTTGAGAGCTGTTGCTCTCTAAATTATTATTTGATTATTTTAAAAGTATGGAAGTTTTCTAGTCACTGAAGAAAGGAGGGGAAAGTGCACTTATTTTTATATGGAGTTACTTAACTACCACCTAAACACATATGTGGAAATTGTTTTTGCTGGTGCAAAGTATTTTAATTAGCAAGAATTCATATATTGAGATTATAATTAGAGAGCTCAATTTATATATTTGCTATCCTGCTCAAGCCTGACATGGCAAAAAATAAAAATAAAAAGAAAACCAAGTTCCCTCCAAAATATATAGCTTCAAAATAAAAAACACTGGAAAGTTTGCTGTGATAACTATTTTGTACTTTTGTACAAAAAACCTAAAGAACAAATTACCTGAAGAACAATTTGCTAAACATGAGAAATTGCTCCCTTTGAGTATATACAGATAAGATAGGAAGAGTGTTCAGACCAGAATATTATAGTTTATATTGAAGATAATATTCAGTTGACTCATAACTAGTAACCACCATTCATGATAACATTTCAGCATTTCCAAGGTGCCAAGTGTACTGATTTTTAAAAATATATTTTAGAAGGAATTTAGAACTGGTGTTTTTAATGAAAACCAGCATCTCTGATGTTGCAACATGTATGTGAAATGGGTGTTACATCTATCCTGCCCTTTAACTCCACTGTTAACAAAGTGGCTGAAAATAACAGTAAGAAAAAATCAGTCTAAGGGAGAAAGCCACTAATGCTCTCAATTCTCTCTCTCTCTCTCTCTCTCTGTGTGTGTGTGTGTGTGTGTGTGTGTGTGTTAAGGGGGATGTCGGGAGGTGGTCTTAACTCTTGAAAGAAAACTTCTTTGTATAGGAAGCATATTTTGGTTTAGGTACAATGATAAGAAAGTTTAATTTTATAATCCATAAGACCAGATACCTTCAGAAATGATTTTTCCTGTGGGATTTCTATGACTGGTATTCTGACTAGTGTGAAATGACAGCTTTGGATGTCTATATCTACACCCATCAAAACCTCAGAGCTTCATGCACTGCTATAACTTTTCTGTTAACTCTGGGTAAATTCGGAGGTTGGTACAAGGAATAATTTTAACTTCAGATTTTACAGCTTGTTTATGTTAAGGGCAGAAAGATCTACTTTTCAATGATCTGTATTTTAAGATATTGACTTTTCCTGGTGCTATTTTATGATTATGGAGAAAATAGAATTCTTATTAGAAATCTCAACTCCGAATTAAGAGTAGATGTTTTGATACTTGTCCTGCTGTGGCCTGAGACTTGGAATCATGAATTAAAAGAGACCTTGCTGTTTATCTACAGATTAGAACACACAAATAAACATCAGTGTAACATCCTCATTAGCATTCTGGTAGTTACATGTACTTATTCCAGAGCAAAATTAATATATGATAAGAAGTGGAATATTTTCTGTTGTTATCTAGGATATTAAGACAACAACCTTCCTTAGAAAAGAAACAGCGTATTATGAGGACAGTGGATGCTACAACGTTATTTGCCTTCAAGGCATTGCAAACAACTGGAATCAATTGTATAACCTTCTCAAGCACAAGCCAACAGTGAAATGAGAGTCATTTATCTGAAACAGCAGGCAAGAGCTTCATTGGTACACTCGGAAGGTGGCTCACTAACCCTGCCGAAGTTTTGCTTCATCTGATCAGGGCATAAATGTTTCATTGGCCCAATAACCAAGGTCTTAGAGTTTCACAGTGTTTTCTCTCCAATAGCTAATACAGGGAGCATTGCTGATATCCTGCCCCTGGTTGCCAAGGCTGAAATCAAACGTGCTTTGAATAATACTATAAAAACTTTGAAATCAATCTTTGCTGTAGGAGCCAATGTTCAACTGTGGGCTCTATACAAAGCCGCTTAAGGTGGGAGGGAGCAAACTTTTCTAGTTGGTTTTAGGTAACAGAAACAGATGTCTTTATTGGATTTGTCTGGAAAAAAAAGTAAGGAAAATCCCAACATTATCTGTTCTGGTCAAGAATTATAAGGCTCAGTCCCATTTTATTTCTGTCCTCCTTTGGATCCTTTTTTCTTATTCTTGACTCTATACATGGAGAAAAAGTTCAAGTGCATCTAAAGCAGTAATGCTGGGAACTTGCCAACTTATTCCCATGATGCTACTGTTGGTTATAAAGCATTTTGAGGATTCTTGTGTTCAGAGATAGTGATAAGCCACAAGAGGAAGTCAGTCTTGCTGGTGTACAGCTGCATTTTGGGCCCATGTATAGAAGAGCTAACATGGATTTCAGAGTCTTCCAGGTGTTTGAAATCCAGGGTCTGCTCTCAGGACCTGTGAGGTCTTAGATAAGTTGCTCAATCTCTTTGAGCCTCAGTTTTCTGAGTACAGTGGCACATAACTCACAGGACTGCGGTGTGGATGAATTGCGATGATGTGTATGAACCCAGCTCAGGGTCTGCTTTCCTTCTTTCTTCCCTGCCTCTGAATTTACACCAAGCTGTACTTCTGAGGTCTGACTCCTGAGAGGCTAGACATACAGTGAAGCTTGATGCTTGCTAGAAACTGAGGGGCTAGACTTGAGTGTTAGGGAACCTGGGAATGACATCTGTCATTCATCCGGGAAGGCCGAGGAGGAAAGCGAGGCAGGGCAGCAGAGCAGGAGGTGGTGCCCATAGAGGCCACTTTTGGACTGGAGCCTGCTCAAGGCACTTTAGTGCTGAGTCATTTGGGGCCCAAGGTAGGGGCAGATAGAAGAGAAGGACGGCAGTTATCGCCTAGTCACAGGGGCAGATAGAAGAGAAGGATGGCAGTTATCGCCTAGTCACAGGGGCAGATAGAAGAGAAGGACGGCAGTTATCGCCTAGTCACAGGGGCAGATAGAAGAGAAGGACGGCAGTTATTGCCTAGTCAGGAATTTAACAATCTCTATTTCCTTTCAAACCTCGTTTCATCCCTTCCATCCCAGTCAAATTCACAGGCAATTAGACTTCCTCCTGCATCTCAGAGCAGGCCTCTGCATCATCATTTCTCCTCTGCAAGTGTATCTTCTTCGGGCACGTCGGAAGGTCTTAGTGAACCTGCGGTATTTAGGGACTGGATCCTCTTTCCTCTTTATTGTCAAAGTTGTGGCTTGCCGAGGTCAGGACAGAGTATGATTATGACATGTTAGCAATCGTCACCTCTCATTTTTAAGTAAATATACTTTTATGCAGTTTGAGCTTTCATTCATGTCATTTATTAATTTGTTCTTTCGTTAACACATTCATTTGTGGAGCATTGGCCTATAAAAGCGAAGAAACACTTCCTTAGCATTAAGGAAGGACAGAAAACAAAATGCACAGAGGCACATGCTTTGTTTTGTATAACTTTGAAAGTTTCTAAATTAAAATAATGTCTAACTTGGAAAACCAAAACCTATCACTGAGATATTTTCATAATCTAAAAAGTCAGTTTCAAAAGAACTTCCAAAATGTTTTAAAAAATGATTATCCTTAAGAATAATGATGTAGCATTCCAAGGTTTTAGTGTTCAATCAGCATTTATTACCACCTGCTGGGTGCCTGAGGCAGGACATTTGTAATGAGAGCCACAAACATGAATTGAAAATCCGCTGCCCATAGGTTCACAGTTCCTGTCAAAGCATAGACCCCCCTGTAGATACAGCCCCCTGTCTAAGATGCCCTGTGTTCTGGGCGAGAGGATACACTAGGTCTGCAGGTATATCTGGTGGGCAGAACAGGAAAGGTGTCACTGAGGAGGTGCTATGTGAGTTAGTTGTGAAAAATGAGTACGGGTTTATGAGGCAGAAATGAGAGGCACTTTGCTGAAGTTACAACTCCTACCAGGCACTCGTTTGAATTTTCTGTTTCATTTGCTCTTTGGAGGTTGCTTGTTGGTACACTTACATCTTCTATGCCAGTCTTAAAAGAGAGGAGTGAGTGTGTGTGTGTCTGTGTTTAGTATTTTTTGCAGAGTTTCTTTGTGTTTCCAAGCTTACATTAGAGCTGAAGCTTGTCAGAGTTCTCATAACAAATGCGTGATTGAACTAAATTCCAACCTGCCGCCTCTGGCGTTGGAGACTTACAGCACCTCAGTGCATTCATGGGGTGTGCTCTACCCTCTACCTTCGTGATTTATTTAAAGACCAAATATAATGAATAACAATTCTTAGGCTTAAACCTATAGCAGGCGTAGGAAATAGTTCAAACCTTCTGACATACATGAACAAATGCAATCTTCAAAAACTACTGTTTTTGAATCTGCGTGAATGTACTGAACTCGTTGCTACCTTCATTTAAATGTGATGTATCAAAAGTGCTTTGTAAACTGTTAAATTCCAATGTTGACATTGTTATAGACACACTTTATTAAATACTGGATGATGATTTTATAAAGTACAGGGTTTTTAGCTGTGAAATTATTCTAAAATATGTAGACAAAATTTTGAATAATCTTCCCATTTTGAACACAATGATTGGTTTTAAAATTCCCTTGATTTATATGTTTGTATACTGTGGATTCTCAATTGAGTGAATTAGTGTCTTTGCAATATAGTAAGATTTTGGTACAGTTTTTTTTTTTTAACTCATCCACTTTATTTTATTTATTTTTTTTCACTTTCTCTTTCTTTTTTTTATTATTATACTTTATGTTTTAGGGTACATGTGCACATTGTGCAGGTTAGTTACATATGTATACATGTGACATGCTGCTGCGCTGCACCAACTAACTCGTCATCTAGCATTAGGTATATCTCCCAATGCTATCCCTCTCCCCTCCCCCCACCCCACAACAGTCCCCAGAGTGTGATATTCCCCTTCCTGTGTCCATGTGATCTCATTGTTCAATTCCCACCTATGAGTGAGAACATGCGGTATTTGGTTTTTTGTTCTTGCGATAGTTTACTGAGAATGATGATTTCCAATTTCATCCATTTCCCTGCAAAGGACATGAACTCATCATTTTTTATGGCTGCATAGTATTCCATGGTGTATATGTGCCACATTTTCTTAATCCAGTCTATCATTGTTGGACATTTGGGTTGGTTCCAAGTCTTTGCTATTGGGAATAGTGCCGCAATAAACATACGTGTGCATGTGTCTTTATAGCCACATGATTTATAGTCCTTTGGGTATATACCCAGTAATGGGATGGCTGGGTCAAATCTTATTTCCAGTTCTAGATCCCTGAGGAATCTCCACACTGACTTCCACAATGGTTGAACTTGTTTACAGACCCACCAACAGTGTAAAAGTGTTCCTATTTCTCCACATCCTCTCCAGCACCTGTTGTTTCCTGACTTTTTAACGATTGCCATTCTAACTGGTGTGAGATGGTATCTCATTGTGGTTTTGATTTGCATTTCTCTGATGGCCAGTGATGGTGAGCATTTTTTCATGTGTTTTTTGGCTGCATAAATGTCTTCTTTTGAGAAGTGTCTGTTCATGTCCTTCGCCCACTTTTTGATGGGGTTGTTTGTTTTTTTCTTGTAAATTTGTTTGAGTTCATTGTAGATTCTGGATATTAGCCCTTTGTCAGATGAGTAGGTTGTGAAAATTTTCTCCCATTTTGTAGTTTGCCTGTTCACTCTGATGGTAGTTTCTTTTGCTGTGCAGAAGCTCTTTAGTTTAATGAGATCCCATTTGTCAATTTTGTCTTTTGTTGCCATTGCTTTTGGTGTTTTAGACATGAAGTCCTTGCCCATGCCTATGTCCTGAATGGTAATGCCTAGGTTTTCTTCTAGGGTTTTTATGGTTTTAGGTCTAACATTTAAGTCTTTAATCCATCTTGAATTCATTTTTGTATAAGGTGTAACGAAGAGATCCAGTTTTTAATCTATCAAGGAAAAGACTAGATTAGTAGGATCTCATTTGTTTCATAGCCCATTATTTGAAGGATGATTTAAGATGATAGGAAATACTGACTCACCTTTTCTAAAAAGACAACTGCTTTTCTTATTCTTTTAAGTTCAAATTTGTCTTGTCTCCTTTTGATTAATTAAAACAAGTTATCAAAAGCCTTAACAGAAAATATTATTTATTGAATCAGAAGAGAAACAGGAAATATTGTGCTTTCTTGGGCCTGTTTCCTATACCCCAATATCATAAGAATTGTTGTTGCTTCTATAATGTTCAGCTTCAAATTCTTTTGCTTAATCAATCCAAATGAATTACCTGAATTTTCTCCTCTTGTTCAAAATGGAACCACATTCATCCACCTACCCCCAGCCATAGGACTGTTTCTTTTATTCCGATAGTTTGTGATATCCTTGACTTCACAGCAGAAAGCTGTGAATCTCCCAAACCCCTTCACTCAGGTCCCATGGGGACTGCCCTCTAAAGTCTCTTCAGTCTTCTTTCTTTGAATGTTCATGGCTACCTTGTCGTTTAGACTCTTATCCCTGACTGTATGAGATCCCTCAGGTCTTCCTGCCTGTGGCCATGCCTAATTTATACCCTTCCTAAAATGTGATGTGATCATGTCACTGCCTTGCTTAGAAGCCCTGCACTGGCGTCCAACACGTGTAGAATCAAGTGCTTGCTGTTTAACATGGTCTACCCAGTCCTCCAGATTCTGGCTTCCAGTTATTTCTCAGCCTCAAAAAAGCACCTAACTCTCCAAACATATCAAATAGCTTGTGCCCTCCTGCCTCCCGTTCACACCTCCATTCCTTCCCCTCTACCTGGATGCTCCCCCCTTCATCCGCCACCCCGCTGTAAGCTCCCATGGATTGACTGGTGCTTGAGTGTTTTATTGCACTTTGGACCTCCCGTCTCTCACTCCTGGCTTCTGTCTGTCTACCTGTCTTGACCGGCCACTTGCACTGCGTCTGGCTTATCTGCCTCATTCTGGTTGACAGTTTTATTTGTTAGCTTCATATCTACTAGTTTTCTCAATTATTTATCAGCCTCTCCACACCAGGCTCCTTGCCCCGTATTTGTAAGCTGCTATTGGCTTGAGGGTGACTGTGCCTTTCTAATAAAACTATTTTATAGACTGATAGTTACAAGGGTATAGTAGAACAGAAATTAATCTACCTTTGAGTGTATTTCAACATATCTAGTGATCCATGAATATTTCTTCTTATTATTATCATTATTGTTATTTTTAAATAGACGATCAGGAAGGCAGAGGCTAGGTCACCAATGTGAACTTAGGCTTTCATCTTTATGACGATATTTGGGATCACTGCAAGTATTCTGAATTTTAAATGGCATTCAGTGATTTGATAAAATAGGAATTTTGTTACTCTGAACTGGGTAGTGTTTCAGCAACTGGCTACTGTGTCATTATTTCTATAAATTCAAAATGTAGAAGGAACATTTACCTTTTAACAAGGGAGTATCCCAGGTCTCAGTTCTCAACCGTTTTTCTAGGTGCACTCATGCTTCTGTGATCTCATGAAGCCCAATGGCATTAAATTCTATGTATATGTGCATGGTCCATGAACACATATTTCCAGCTCCTACCTCTCCTCTAAAATTTAGACTCATATCTAATTATCTACCAATTATCACCAATTGGAAGACTAATAGACAACTCAACTATCACACATCCATAAGGGAAATCTTGATCCTCCACCTTCAACCCCTGGGCCCAACACTCCTCGGTCATCTCCATCTCAGTAAATAGCACCTCCAGCGTACCAGCCATTAGGCCAGAAAACTTGCCTTGACCCCTCTTTGTTTCTTGCACCTCATATCAGCATACACTGTTGAACTGTATTAAGAATCTGAGCTTCCCTTGTCACACCCATTGTGTACAACCTGCTTCACTTTACGTCATTGTTTTCATAGATTACCAAAATAGCCTCCTAACTCCTCTCCTACTTTCTCTTTCTCCCTGTACTTTGTTCTTCACTGAGCAACCAGAGTAAGTCTTTATTTTATTTTTTTTGAGACAGAGTCTCTGTCGCCCAGGCTGGAGTGCAGTGGTGCAATCTGGGTTCACTACAACCTCTACCTCCTGGGTTCAAGTGATTCTCCTGCCTCAGCCTCCCAAGTAGCTGGGACTACAGGCATGCACCACCAAGCCTGGCTAATTTTTGTGTTTTTAATGGAGATGGGGTTTTGCCATGTTGGCCAGGCAGGTCTCGAACTCCTGACCTCAGGTGATTCAGAGTAAGTCTTTTTAAAGCATAAGGAAAATAATGTTTTCATCTGCTTAAAATCTTCCATGGCTAGGAATGTTTTAAACCATCTTGTCCCCTGACACTTCTCTGATGTCTAGTCCAATCAGTCTCCCCTGTATTACTGCAATCTTCAAAGACACCAGGCAGATGTGCTTCTGCATCAGGGCCTTTGCATGTGTGGTCCCCTTTGCCTGGAATGCTTTCTCATTAGGAAACAGGATGGCTTACTTCCTCTCTTTTTTTATTTTTATTTTATTATATTATTATTATACTTTAAGTTTTAGGGTACATGTGCACAACGTGAAGGTTTGTTACATATGTATACATGTGCCATATTGGTGTGCTGCACTCATTAACTCGTCATTTAGCATTAGGTATATCTCCTAATGCTATCCCTGTCCCCTTCCCCCAACCCACAACAGTCCCTGGTGTGTGATGTTCCCCTTCCTGTGTCCATGTGTTCTCATTGTTCAATTCCCACCTATGAGTGAGAACATGAGGTGTTTGGTTTTTTCTCCTTGTGATAGTTTGCTGAGAATGATGGTTTCCAGTTTCATCCATGTCCCTACAAAGCACATGAACTCATAACTTTTTATGGCTGCATAGTATTCCATGGTGTATATGTGCCACATTTTCTTAATCCAGTCTATCGTTGTTGGACATTTGGGTTGGTTCCAAGTCTTTGCTATTGTGAATAGTGCCACAATAAACATACGTGTGCTTGTGTCTTTATAGCAGCATGATTTATAATCCTTTGGGTATATACCCAGTAATGGGATGGCTGGGTCAAATGGTATTTCTAGTTCTAGATCCCTGAGGAATCACCACAGTGACTTTCACAATGGTTGAACTACTTTACAGTCCCACCAACAGTGTAAAAGTGTTCCTATTTCTCCACATCCTCTCCAGCACCTGTTGTTTCCTGACTTTTTAATGATCGCCGTTATAACTGGTGTGAGATGGTATCTCATTGTGGTTTTGATTTGCATTTCTCTGATGGCCAGTGATGATGAGCATCTTTTCATGTGTTTTTTGGCTGCATAAATGTCTTCTTTTGAGAAGTGTCTGTTCATGTCCTTCACCCACTTTTTGATGGGGTTGTTTGTTTTTTTCTTGTCAATTTGTTTGAGTTCATTGTAGATTCTGGATATTAGCCCTTTGTCAGATGAGTAGGTTGCAAAAATTTTCACCCATTTTATAGGTTGCCTGTTCACTCTGATGGTAGTTTCTTTTGCTGTGCAGAAGCTCTTTAGTTTAATGAGATCCCATTTGTCAATTTTGGTTTTTTTTTTGTTTTGTTTTTTTTTTTTTTTTTTTTTTTTTTTTTTGAGACGGAGTCTCGCTCTGTCGCCCAGGCTGGAGTGCAGTGGCGGGATCTCGGCTCACTGCAAGCTCCGCCTCCCGGGTTCACGCCATTCTCCTGCCTCAGCCTCCCAAGTAGGTGGGACTACAGGCGCCCGCCACTACGCCCGGCTAATTTTTTGTATTTTTAGTAGAGACGGGGTTTCACCGTTTTAGCCGGGATGGTCTCGATCTCCTGACCTCGTGATCCGCCCGCCTCAGCCTCCCAAAGTGCTGGGATTACAGGCGTGAGCCACCGCGCCCGGCCCAATTTTGGTTTTTGTTGCCATTACTTTTGGTGTTTAAGACATGAAGTCCTTGCCCATGACTATATCCTGAATGGTATTGACCAGGTTTCCTTCTAGGGTTTAGGCTCAAAATAAAGGGATGGAGGAAGATCTACCAAGAAAATGGAAAACGAAAAAAGGCAGGGTTTGCAATCCTAGTCTCTGATAAAACAGACTTTAAACCAACAAAGTTCAAAAGAGACAAAGAAGGCCATTACATAATGGTAAAGGGATCAATTCAACAAGAAGAGCTCACTATCCTAAATATATATGCATCCAATACAGGAGCACCCAGATTCATAAAGCAAGTCCTGAGTGACCTACAAAGAGACTTAGACTCCCACACAATAATAATGGGAGACTTTAACACCCCACTCTCAACATTGGACAAATCAACGAGACAGAAAATTAACAAGGATACCCAGGAATTGAACTCAGCTCTGCACCAAGCAGACATAATAGACATCTACAGAACTCTCCACCCCAAATCAACAGAATACACATTTTTTTCAACACCACACCACACCTATTCCAAAATTGACCACATAGTTGGAAGTAAAGCACTCCTCAGCAAATGTAAAAGAACAGAAATTATAACAAACTGTCTCTCAGACCACAGTGCAATCAAACTAGAACTCAGGATTAAGAAACTCACTCAAAACCGCTCAACTACATGGAAATTGAAAAACCTCCTCCTGAATGACTACTGGGTACATAACGAAATGAAGGCAGAAATAAAGATGTTCTTTGAAACCAACGAGAACAAAGACACAACATACCAGAATCTCTGGGACACATTTAAAGCAGTGTGTAGAGGGAAATTTATAGCACTAAATGCCCACAAGAGAATGCAGGAAAGATCCAAGATTGACACCCTAACATCACAATTAAAAGAACTAGAAAAGCAAGAGCAAACACATTCAAAAGCTAGCAGAAGGCAAGAAATAACTAAAATCAGAGCATAACTGAAGGAAATAGAGACACAAAATTTGTCCCCGTTAGAGAGGGACAAACTTTCAAACAACAGCGAGAGTGTCCTGAAATCCTCTGTTATGGACAAACATTCAGACCCTCGTCCCTGTTTTCTGGAAATCTACGTGAGGGAGAAACACTCAGAACCCAGCAGCAGTGTTCTGGAATCCTATGTGAGGAACAATCATTCAGACCCCAGCAGCAGTGTTCTGGAATCCTATGTGAGGAACAAACATTCAAACAACAATGAGAGTGTTCTGGAATCCTATGTGAGGGAAAACATTCAGACACATGTTGCAGTGTTCTGGAACCCTATGTGACAGAGAGATGTTTGGACAACAGCAGCAGCGTTCTGTAATCCTATGTGAAGGGACAAACATTCAGACCCTCGTAGCAGTGTTCTGGAATCCTATGTGAGGGATAAACTTTCAGACCATAGCAGAAGTTTTCTGGAAACCTATGTGAGGAACAAACATTCAGACAATCATAGCAGTGTTCTGGAATCCCATGTGAGGAACAAACATTCAGACCCTCGTAGCAGTGTTCTGTAGTGCTGTGTGAGGGACAAACATTCAGACAATCGTATCAGGGTTCTGGAATCCTATGTGAAGGCCAACATTCAGACCCTAGCAGCAGTGTTCAGGAATCCTATGTGAGGAACAAACAATCAGACCACAGCAGGTGTGCTCTGGAATCCTTTGTGAGGAACAAGCCTTTAGACCCTTGTAGCAGTGGTCTGGAATGCTATGTGAGGGACAAACATTCAGACAATCATAGCAGTGTTCTGGAATCCTATGTGAGGGACAAACATTCAGACCACAGCCGCAGTGTTCTGGAATCCTATCTGAGGGACAAACTTTCAGACATTTTTAGCTGTGTTGTGGAATCCTGTGTGAGGAACAAACATTCAAACAACAGCAGGAGTGTTCTGGAATCCTATGATATGAAAAAACATTCAGACCCTCGTCGCACTCTTCTGGAATTCTATGTGAGGGAGCAAAATGCAGAATCTAGCAGCAGTGTTCTGGAATCCTATGTGACGGCAATACATGTAGACCCCATCAGCATGTTCTGGAATCCTATCTGAGGGACAATAATTTGGACCCCAGCAGCAGTGTTCTGGAACCCTATGGTAGGGCAATTATTCAGACCCTCATAGCAGTGTTGGGGAATTCTGTGTGAGGGACAAAAAATTCAGACCCTCATAGCAGTGTTCTGGAATTCTATGTGAGGGATAAACATTCATACCAGAGCAGGAGTGTTCTGGAATCCCCAACGAAGAACAAACATTCAAACCCTTGTAGCAGTGTTCTGGAATCCTATGTGAGGAACAAACATTCAGACCCTCGTGTTAGTGTTCTGGAATCCTATGTGAGTGACAAACATTCAAACAACAGCGGGAGTGTTCTGGAATCCTGTGTTATGGGCAAACATTCAGAACCTCGTTGTAGTGTTCTGGAATTCTGCATGAGGGAGAAATGCTCAGAACCCAGCAGCAGTGTTCTGGAATTCTATGTGACAGACATACATGTAGACACCAGCAGCAGTGTTCTGGAATCTTATGTGAAGGACAAACATTCAGAAACCAGCAGCAATGTTCTGGAATCCTATGTGAGGGAAAGTCATTCAGACCTAGTAGCAGTGTTCTGGAATTCTGCTTGAGTGACAATCATTCAGACCATCATAGCAGTGTTATGCAATCCTGTGTGAGGGACAAACATTCAGACACATCGGGAGTGATCTGGAATCCCCTGTGAGGAACAAACTTTCAGACCCTCGTGGCACTGTCCTGGAATCCTATGTGACGGACAAACATTTCCACCCCACCAGCTGTGTTCTGTAATTCAGTGTGAGGGACAAACATTCAGAACCTCGAAGCAGTGTTCTGGAATCCAATGTGAGGGACAAACGCTCATACAATTGCAGTATTGTTCTGGAATCCTGTGAGGGAAAAACAAACAACAGCAGCTGTGTTCTGGAAACCTATATTATGGACAAACATTCAGACACTCGTCACAGTGTTCTGGGACCCTGTATTAGAGACAAACATTCAGACAATCATAGCAGTGTTCTAGAATCTTTCGTAAGGGACAAACATTCAGACCCCAGCAGCAGTATTCTGGAATCCTGTGTGACGGACAAACATTCAAACAACAGCAAGAGTGTTTTGGAATCCAATGTTATGGACAAACGTTCAGAAACTCGTCGCAGTGTTCTGGAATTCTATGTGAGGGAGAAACACTCAGAACCCAGCAGCTGTGCTCTGGAACCGCATGTGAGGGACAAACATTCGGACCACAGCAGGATTGTTCTGGAATCGTATGTGAGGGACAAACACTCGGAACACAGCAGGAATGTTTTGGAATCCTATGTGAGGGACAAACATCCAGACCCTCATAGCAGTGTTCAGGAATCCTATGTGGGGGAGAAACATTCAGACCACAGCAGGAATGTTCTGGAGTCCTAAGTGAGGAGCAAACATTAAGACCCTCATGGCAGTGTTCTGGAATCCTACGTGAGGGACAATCATTCAGACCCACGTAGCAGTGTTCTGGAATTCTGTGTGAGGGACAAACATTCAGACCCTCGTAGCAGTGTCCTGGAATCCTGTTTGACAGACAATCATTCAGACCACAGCAGGAGTGTTCAGGAATCCCCTGAGAGGAACGAACAATCCGACCCTCGTAACGGTGTTCTGGATTCCTATGTGAGGGAAAAACATTCAGACCCTCATAGCAGTGTTCTGGAATCTTAAGTGAGGGACAAACATTCAGACACTCATAGCAGTGTTCTGGAATCCTATGTGAGGGACAAACATTCAAATAACAGCGGGAGTGTTCTAGAATCCCATGTTACAGAAAAACATTCAGAAACTGGTCACAGTGTGCTAGAATTCGATGTGAGGGAGAAACACTCAGAACCGAGCATCAGTGTTCTGGTATCCTCTCTGACGGACATGCATGTAGACCCCAGCAGCACTGTTCTGGAATCCTATTTGAGGGACAAACATTCAAACAACAGTTAGAGTGTTCTGGAATCCTGTGTTACGGACAAGCATTCACACCCTCGAGGCAGTGTTCTGGAGTTCTACTTTAGGGAGAAACATTAAGAACCCAGCAACAGTGTTCTGGATCCCTATGTGAGGGACAAACATTCAGATCACAGCAGGATTGCTCTAGAATCATATGTGAGGGAGAAATACTCAGAACACAGCAGGAATGTATTGGAATCTGATGTGAGGGACAAACATGCAGGCACTCGTAGCAGTGTTCAGGAATCCTATGTGAGGGACAAACTTTCAGACCACAGCAGGAGCGTTCTGGAATCCCATGTGAGGGACAAACATTCAAACAATAGTAGCATTGTTCTAGAAACCTACTTGAGGGACAAATATTCAGATTCCAGCAGCAGTGTTCTGGAATCTTATGTGAGGGACAAACTTTCCGGCCACAGCAGGAGTGTTCTGCAATCTTATGTGAGGAACAAACACTCAGAACACAGCAGGAGTGTTTTGGAATCCAATGTGACAGACAAACATTCAGACACTTGTAGCAGTGTTCTGGAATCCTATGCGAGTGAGAAACACTCAGAACCCAGCAGCAGTGTTCTGGAATCCTATGTGACGGACATACATGTACACCCCAGCAGCAGAGTTCTGGAATCCTATGTGAGGGACAAGCATTCAGACCCCAGCAGCAGTATTCTGGAATCCTATGTGAGGGACTGTCATTCAGAAACTCGTAGCAGTGTTCTGGAATTCTGTGTGAGAGACAAACATTCAGAACCTCATAGTAGTTTTCCAGAATCCTATGTGACGGACATTTAGACCCTAGCTGCAGTGTTCTGGAATGCTATGTGAGGGACAAACACTCAGAACACAGCAGGAGTATTTTGGAATTCTATGTGAGGGACAAACATTCAGACCCTCGTAGCAGTGGTTCAGGAATCCTATGTGAGGTACAAACATTCAGATTCTTGTAACATTGTTCAGGAATGCTATGTGACGGACAAACATTTAGACCCCAGTAGCAGTGTTCTGGAATCCTTTGTGTGGGACAAACATTCACACCCTCGTAGCAGTGTTCTGGAATCCCTTGTGAGGGACAAACACTCAGAACCCAGCAACAGTGTTCTGGAACCATATGTGAGGGACAAGCATTCACACCACAGCAGGATTGTTCTGGAATCCTATGTGAGGGTCAAACTCACAGAACACAACAGGAGTGTTTTGGAATGCAATGTGAGGGACAAACATTCAGACCCTCGAAGCAGTGTTCAGGAATCCTATGGAAGGGACAAACATTCAGACAACCGTAGCAGTGTTCTGGTGTCCTATGTGAGGGACCAGCATTCAGACCCTCGTAGCAGTGTTCTGGAATTCTGTATGAGGGACAAACATTCATACCCTCTTAGCCGTGTTCTGAAATCCTTTGTGAGGGACACACATTGAGACCACAGCAGGAGTGTTATGGAATCTGCTGTGAGGAACATTCAGACACTCGTAGCTTTGTTCTGGAATCCCATGTGATGGACAAACATTTATACCTCAGCAGCAGTGTTCTGGAATCCTATGTGAGGGACAAACTTTCAGAGCATCATAGCAGTGTTCTGTAATCCTAGGTGAGGGATAAACATTCTGACAATCGTAGCAGTGTACTGGAATCCTATGTGAGAGACAAACATTCAGACCCCAGCAGCAGTGTTCTGCAATGCTATGTGAGGGACAAACATTCAAACAAGAGCGGGAATGTTCTGGAATCCTATGTTATGGTCAAACATTCAGAATATTGTCTCAATTATCTGGAATTCTATGTGAGGGAGAAACACTGTGAACCCAGCAGCAGTGTTCTGGAATCCCATGTGACTGGCATACATGTAGACCCCAGCAACTGTGTTCTGGAATCCTATGTGAGGGATAAACATTCACACCCCAGCAGCAGTGTTCTGGAATCTGATGTGACCAACAAACATTTAGAACCCAGCAGTGTTCTGGAATAATATGTGAGGGACAAACATTCAGACCCCAGCAGCAGTGTTCTGGAATCCTATGTGACCGACAAACATTTAGAACCCAGCAGCAGCATTCTGGAATCCTATTTGAGGGACAAACATTCAGACCCTCGTAGCAGTGTTCTGGAATATTATGTGAAGGCAAAATATTCAGACAATCGTAGCAGTGTTCTGGAATCCTATGTTAGGGACAAACTTTGAGACCCCAGCAGCAGTGTTCTGGAATCCAACGTGAGGGACAAACATTCAAAGAAGAGCGTGAGTTTTCTGGAGTCCTATGTTATGAACAACATTCATACCCTCATCGCAGTGTTCTGGAATTCTATGTGAGGGAGAAACACACAGAACCCAACAGCAGTGTTCTGGAATCCTATGTGACAGACATACATGTAGTCCCCAGAAGCAGTGTTCTGGAATCCTACTTGAGGGACAAACATTCAAACAACAGCATGAGTGTTTTTGAATCCTATGTTACCGACAAACATTCCGAACCTCGTCACAGTGTTCTAGAGTTCTATGTTAGGGAGAAACATTCAGAACTCAGCAGCAGTTATCAGCAACCCTGTGTGTGTGACAAACATTCAGACAATAGCAGGACTGTTCTAGAATTCTATGTGAGGGACAAACACTCAGAACACAGTAGGAGTGTTTTGGAATCTGATGTGAGGGACAAACATTCATACTGTCGTAGCAGAGTTCAGGAATCCTTTCTGAGGGCCAAACATTCAGAACACAGCAGAAGTGTTCTGGAATCCCATGTGAGGGACAAATATTCAGACCCTCGTAGCACTGTTCTGGAATCCTATGTGAGGGACCAGCATTCATACAATCGTAGCATTTTTCTGGAATCCTATGTGAGGGAAAAACAGTCAAACAACAGCGAAACTGTTTGGGAAACCTATGTTTCAGACAAACATTCAGACCCTCTTCGCAGTGTTCTTTAATCATATGTGGGGGACAAACATTCATACAATCGTAGCATTTTTCTGGAATCCTCTGTGAGGGACAAACATTCAAACAACAGAGGGAAAGCCCTGGAGTCCTAAGTAACAGAAAAACTTTCAGACCCTCATATCAGTGTTCTGAAATTCCAAGTGAGGGAGAAACACTCAGAACCCAGCAGCTGTGTTCTGGAATCCATTGTGACGGACTTACAAGTGGACCCCAGCAGCCGTATTCTGGAATCCTATGTGTGGCACAAACATTGAGACCCCAGCAGCCGTGTTCTGGAATCCTATGTGAGGGACAATCATTCAGACCCTCGAAGCAGTGTTCTGGTACTCTGCATGAGGGACAAACATTCAGACCCTCATAGCAGCGTTCTGGAATCCTATGTGAGGGACAAACTTTCAGACAATCGTAGCAGTGTTCTGGAATCCTATGTGAGCGACAAACTTTCAGACAATCGTAGCAGTGTTCTGGAATCCTATGTGAGAGACAAACATTCAGACATTGGTAGCAGTGTTCTGGAATTCTATGTAAGGGAGAAACATTCAGAACCTCGTAGCAGTGTTCTGGAATCCTGTGTGAGGGACACACATTCAGACAACAACAGGAGTGTTCTGAAAAACCCTTTGAGGAACAAACATTCATAACCTCGTAGCAGTGTTCTAGAATCCTGTGTGACAGACAAACATTATGACTCCAACAGCTTTGTTCTGGAACCCTTTGTGAGGGAAAAACATTCAGACCCTCGTAGCAGTGTTCTGGAATCCTGTGTGAGGGACAAACTTTCAGACACCAGCAGAAGTGTTCTGGAATCCTATGTGAGGGACAAACATTCAAAAAACAGCGAGAGTGTTCTGGAATACTATGTTACAGAAAAACATTCAGAACCTCTTTGCAGTGTTCTGGAATTCTATGTGAGTGAGAAACACTGAGAACCCAGCAGCAGTGACCCTATGTGAGGGACAAACACTCAGAACACAGCAGGGACATTTTGGAATCCTATGTGAGCAACAAACATTCAGAATCTCGTAGTAGTGTTCAGGAATCCTATGTGACGTACAAATATTCAGAACACAGCAGGAGTATTATGGAATCCTGTGTGAGGGACAAACATTCAGACTCTCATAGCAGTGTTCCGGAAACCTATGTGAGGGACAATCTTTAAGAGAATCTTTGCAGTGTTCTGGAATCCTAAGTGAGGGACATACACTCACACCCCAGCAGTAGTGTTCTGGAATCCTATGGGAGGGACAAAAATTCAAACAACTGCAGGAGTGTTCTGGAATCCTATGTTATGGACAAATATTCAGAACTTCTTCGCAGTGTTCTGGAATTCTATGTGAGGGAGACACACTCGCAACCCAGCAGCAGTGTTCTGGAATCCTATGTGAGGGACAATCATTCAGACCCTCATAGCAGCATTCTGGAATTGTGTGTGAGGGACAAACATTCACAACCTCATAGCCGTGTTCTGAATTCCTGTGTGAGGCACAAACATTCACACCAAAGCAGGACTCTTCTGGAATCCTCTGTGAGGAACAAACATTCAGACCCTCGTAGCTGTTCTCTGGAATCCTATATGACAGACAAACATTTAGAACTTCTCAACAGTGTTCTGGAATCCTATGTGAGGGACATTCAGACCCTCGTAACAGTGTTCTGGAAACCTGTGTGAGGGACAACCATTCAGAACCCAGCAGCAGTTTTCTGGAGTCCTAAGGGAGGAACAAACATTCAAACAACAGCGGGAGTGTTCAGGAATCCTATTTTATGGACAAACATTCAGACCCTCATCACAGTGTTGAGGAATTTAAGGTGAGGGAGAAACGCTTAGAACCCAGCAGGAGTGTTCTGGAGCCCTATGTGAGGGACAAACATTCAGACCACAGCAGGATTGTTCTGGAATCCTATGTGAGGGGCAAACATTGAGACTACAGCAGGAGTGTTTTGGAATCCTATGTGAGGGATAAACATTCAGACTCTCGCAGCATTGTTCAGGAATCCTATGCAAGGGACAAACATTCAGACCACAGCATGAGTGTTCTGGAATCGTATATGAGGGAAAACATTCAGACCCTCGCCGCAGTGTTCTGGTATGCCATGTGAGTGAGAAACATTGAGACAATTGTAGCAGTGTTCTGGAATCCTATGTTATGGACAAACATTCAGAACCTCGTCTCAACGTTCTGGAATTCTAGGTGAGGGAGATACATTCAGAACCCAGCAGCAGTGTTCTGGAATCCTATGTGAGGGACAAACATTCAGACCACAGTAACAGTGCTCTGGAATCCTTTGCTAGGGACAATTATTCAGACCCTTGTATCAGTGTTCTGCTATTAAGTGTGAGGGACAAACATTCAGACCCTCGTAGCAGTGTTCTGGAATCCTGTGTGAGTTAGAAACATTCAGACTGCAGCAGGAGTGTTCTGGAATCCCCTGTGAGGGACAAACATTAAGACGGTTGTAGCTGTGTTCTGGAATCCTATGTGAGGAATGAACATTCAGACCATCATAGCAGTGTTCTGGATTCCTGTGTGAGTGATAAACATTCAGACCAAATCTGCAGTGTTCTGGAATCCTATGTAAGAGACAAACATTCAGACCCTCATAGCAGTGTTCTGGAATCCTACGTAACGGACATTCAGATAATTGTAGCAGTTTCCTGGAAACCTCTGTGAAGGACAAACTTTCAGACCCTAATAGCAGTGTTATGGAATTCCATGTGAGACACAAACATTCAGACAATCCTAGCAGTGTTCTGGAATCCTATGTGAGGGACAAACATTCAGACCCCAGCAGCAATGTTCTGGAATCCTATGGGAGGGACAAACTCTCAGAAAATAGCAAGAGTATTTTGGAATCCTATCTGAGGTATAAACACTCAGAACCTCATAGCAGTGTTCAGGAATCCTATGTGAGGGACAAACATTCAGACCACAGCAGGAGCATTCTAGAATCCTATTTGAGGAACAAACATTCAGACAATCGTAGCAGTGTTCTGGAATCCTTTTTTTTTTTTTTAGCTTTTCTTTTTTTTTATTATACTTTAAGTTTTAGGGTACATGTGCACAACGTGCAGGTTTGTTACATATGTATACATGTGCCATGTTGGTGTGCTGCACCCATTAACTCGTCATTTAACATTAGGTATATCTCCTGATGCTATCCCTCCCTGCTTCCCCCAACTCACAACAGTCCCCGGTGTGTGATATTCCCCTTCCTGTGTCCATGTGTTCTCATTGTTCAATTCCCACCTATGAGTGAGAACATGTGGTGTTTGGTTTTTTGTGCTTGCAATAGTTTGCTGAGAATGATGGTTTCCAGCTTCATCCATGTCCCTACAAAGGACATGAACTCATCATGTTTTATGGCTGCACAGTATCCCATGCTGTACATGTGCCACATTTTCTTAATCCAGTCTATCATTGTTGGACATATGTGTTGGTTGCAAGTCTTTGCTAATGTGAATAGTGCTGCAATAAACATATGTGTGGATGTGTCTTTATAGCAGCATGATTTATAATCCTTTGGGTATATACCCAGTAATGGGATGGCTGGGTCAAATGGTATTTCTAGTTCTAGATCCCTGAGGAGTTGCCACACTGACTTCCAGAATGGTTGAACTGGTCCCACCAACAGTGTAAAAGTGTTCCTATTTCCCTACATCCTCTCCAGCACCTGTTGTTTCCTTTTTTTAATTATTATTATACTTCAAGTTTTAGGGTACATGTGCACAATGTGCAGGTTAGTTACATATGTATACATGTGCCATGTCGGTGTGCTGCACCCATTAACTCGTCATTTAGCCTTAGGTATATCTCCTAATGCTATCCCTCCCCCCTCCCCACACCCCACAACAGTCCCCGGAGTGTGATGTTCCCCTTCCTGTGTCCATGTGTTCTCATTGTTCAATTCCCACCTACGAGTGAGAACATGTGGTGTTTGGTTTTTTCTCCTTGTGATAGTTTACTGAGAATGATGATTTCCAATTTCATCCATGTCCCTACAAAGGACATGAACTCATCATTTTTTATGGCTGCATAGTATTCCATGGTGTATATGTGCCACATTTTCTTAATCCAGTCTATCATTGTTGGACATTTGGCTTGGGTCCAAGTCTTTGCTATTGTGAATAGTGCCACAATAAACATACGTGTGCATGTGTCCTTATAGCAGCATGATTTATAGTCCTTTGGGTATATACCCAGTAATGGGATGGCTGGGTCAAATGGTATTTCTAGTTCTAGATCCCTGAGGAATCGCCACACTGACTTCCACAATGGTTGAACTAGTTTACAGTCCCACCAACAGTGTAAAAGTGTTTCTATTTATCCACATCCTCTCTAGCACCTGTTGTTTCCTGACTTTTTAATGATTGCCATTCTAACTGGTGTGAGATGGTATCTCATTGTGGTTTTGATTTGCATTTCTCTGATGGCCAGTGATGGTGAGCATTTTTTCATGTGTTTTTTGGCTGCATAAATGTCTTCTTTTGAGAAGTGTCTGTTCATGTTCTTCACCCACTTTTTGATGGGGTTGTTTGTTTTTTTCTTGTCAATTTGTTTGAGTTCATTGTAGATTCTGGATATTAGCCCTTTGTCAGATGAGTAGGTTGCGAAAATTTTCTCCCATTATGTTGGTTGCCTGTTTGCTCTGATGGTAGTTTCTTTTGCTGTGCAGAAGCTCTTTAGTTTAATGAGATCCCATTTGTCAATTTTGTCTTTTGTTGCCATTGCTTTTGGTGTTTTAGACATGAAGTCCTAGCCCATGCCTATGTTCTGAATGGTAATGCCTAGGTTTTCTTCTAGGGTTTTTATGGTTTTAAGTCTAACATTTAAGTCTTTAATCCATCTTGAATTGATTTTTGTATAAGGTGTAAGGAAGGGATCCAGTTTCAGCTTTCTACATATGGCTAGCCAGTTTTCCCAGCACCATTTATTAAATAGGGAATCCTTTCCCCATTGCTTGTTTTTGTCAGGTTTGTCAAAGGTCAGATAGTTGTAGATATGTGACGTTATTTCTGAGGGCTCAGTTCTGTTCCATTGGTCTATATCTCTGTTTTGGTACCAGTACCATGCTGTTTTGGTGACTGTAGCCTTGTAGTATAGTTTGAAATCAGGTAGCGTGATGCCTCCAGCTTTGTTCTTCTGGCTTAGGATTGACTTGGCGATGCGGGCTCTTTTTTGGTTCCATATGAACTTTAAAGTAGTTTTTTCCATTTCTGTGATGAAAGTCATTGGTAGCTTGTTGGGGATGGCAATGAATCTGTACATTACCTTGGGCAGTATGGCCATTTTCCCAATATTGATTCTTCCTACCCATGAGCATGGAATGTTCTTCCATTTGTTTGCATCCTCTTATTTCATTGAGCAGGGGTTTGTAGTTCTTGAAGAGTTCCTTCACGTCTCTTGTAAGCTGGATTCCTAGGTATTTTATTCTCTTTGAAGCAATTGTGAATGGGAGTTCACTCATGATTTGGCTCTCTGTCTGTTATTGGTGTATAAGAATGCTTGTGATTTTTGTACATTGATTTTGTATCCTGAGACTTTGCCAAATTTGTTTATCAGCTTAAGGAGATTTTGGGCTGAGGCAATGGGGTTTTCTAGACATACAATCATGTCATCTGCAAACAGGGACAATTTGACTTCCTCTTTTCCTAATTGAATACCCTTTATTTCCCTCTCCTGCCTGATTACCCTGGCCAGAACTTCCAACACTATGTTGAATGGGAGTGGTGAGGGAGGGCATCCCTGTCTTCTGTGTTTTCAAAGGAAATGCTTCCAGTTTTTTCCCATTCAGTATGATATTGGCTGTGGGTTTGTCATAGATAGCTCTTATTATTTTGAGATACGTCCCATCAAAACCTAATTTATTGAGAGTTTTTAGCATGAAGGGTTGTTGAATTTTGTCAAAGTCCTTTTCTGCATCTATTGAGATAATCATGTGGGTTTTGTCTTTGGTTCTGTTTATATGCTGGATTACATTTATTGATTTGCATATATTGAACCAGCCTTGCATCCCAGGGATGAAGCCCACTTTATCATGGTGGATAAGCTTTTTGATGTGCTGCTGGATTCGTTTTGCCAGTACTTTATTGAGGATTTTTCATCAATATTCATCAAGGATATTGGTCTAAAATTCTCTTTTTTGGTTGTGTCTCTGCCTGGCCTTGGTATCAGGATGATGCTGGCCTCATAAAATGAGTTAGGGAGGATTCCCTCTTTTTCTATTGATTGGAATAGTTTCAGAGGGAATGGTACCAGTTCCTCCTTTTACCTCTGGTAGAATTCGGCTGTGAATCCATCTGGTCCTGGACTCATTTTGGTTGGTAAGCTATTGGTTATTGTCACAATTTCAGAGCCTGTTATCGGTCTATTCAGAGACTCGACTTCCTTGTTTAGTCTTGGGAGGGTGTATGTGTCGAGGAATTTATCCATTTCTTCTAGATTTTCTAGTTTATTGGCATAGAGGTGTTTGTAGTATTCTTTGATGGTAGTTTGTATTTCTGTGGGATTGGTGGTGATATCCCCTCTATCATTTTTTATTGAGTCTATTTGATTCTTCTCTCTTTTCTTCTTTATTAGTCTTGCTAGTGGTCTATCAATTTTGTTGATCCTTTCAAAAAACCAGCTCCTGCATTCATTAATTTTTTGAAGGGTTTTTTTGTGTCTCTATTTCCTTCAGTTCTGCTCTGATTTTAGTTATTTCTTGCCTTCTGCTAGCTTTTGAATGTGTTTGCTCTTGCTTTTCTAGTTCTTTTAATTGTGATGTTAGGGTGTCAATTTTGGATCTTTCCCACTTTCTCTTGTGGGCATTTAGTGCTATAAATTTCCCTCTACACACTGCTTTGTATGTGTCCCAGAGATTCTGGTATGTTGTGTCTTTGTTCTCGTTGGTTTCAGAGAACATCTTTATTTCTGCCTTCATTTCGTTATGTACCCAGTAGTCATTCAGGAGCAGGTTGTTCAGTTTCCACGTAGTTGAGCAGTTTTGAGTGAGTTTCTTAATACTGAGTTCTAGTTTGATTGCACTGTGGTCTGAGAGACAGTTTGTTATAATTTCTGTTCTTTTACATTTGCTGAGGAGTGCTTTACTTCCAACTATGTGGTCAGTTTTGGAATAGGTGTGGTGTGGTGTTGAAAAAAATGTATATTCTGTTGATTTGGGTTGGAGAGTTCTGTAGATGTCTATTATGTCTGCTTGGTGCAGAGCTGAGTTCAATTCCTGGGTATCCTTGTTGACTTTCTGTCTCATTGATCTGTCTAATGTTGACAGTGCAGTGTTAAAGTCTCCCATTATTATTGTGTGGGAGTCTAAGTCTCTTTGTAGGTCAGTCAGGACTTGCTTTATGAATCCTGGTGCTCCTGTATTGGGTGCATATATATTTATGATAGTTAGCTCTTCTTGTTGAATTGATCCCTTTATCATTATATAATGGCCTTCTTTGTCTCTTTCGATCTTTGTTGGTTTAAAGTCTGTTTTATCGGAGACTAGAATTGCAACCGCTGCCTTTTTTTGTTTTCCATTTGCTTGGTTGATCTTCCTTCATCCTTTTATGTTGAGCCTATGTGTGTCTCTGCACGTGAGATGGGTTTCCTGAATACAGCACACTGATGGGTCTTGACTCTTTATCCATTTTGCCAGTATGTGTCTTTTAATTGGAGCATTTAGTCCATTTACATTTAAAGTTAATATTGTTATGTGTGAATTTGATCCTGTCATTATGATGTTAGCTGGTTATTTTGCTTGTTAGTTGATGCAGTTTCTTCCTAGCCTGGATGGTCTTTACAATTTGGCATGATTTTGCAGTGGCTGGTACCGGTTGTTCCTTTCCATGTTTAGTGCTTCCTTCAGGAGCTCTTTTAGGGCAGGCCTGGTGGTGACAAAATCTCTCATCATTTGCTTGTCTGTAAAGTATTTTATTTCTCCTTCACTTATGAAGCTTAGTTTGGCTGGATATGAAATTCTGGGTTGAAAATTCTTTTCTTTAAGAATGTTGAATATTGGCCCCCACTCTCTTCTGGCTTGTAGAGTTTCTGCCAAGAGATCCGCTCTTAGTCTGATGGGCTTCCCTTTGAGGGTAACCCGACCTTTCTCTCTGGCTGCCCTTAACATTTTTTCCTTCATTTCAACTTTGGTGAATCTGACAATTATGTGTCTTGGAGTTGCTCTTCTCGAGGAGTATCTTTGTGGCATTCTCTGTATTTCCTGAATCTGAATGTTGACCTGCCTTGCTAGATTGGGGAAGTTCTCCTGGATAATATCCTGCAGAGTGTTTTCCAACTTGGTTCCATTCTCTCCATCTTTTTCAGGTACACCAATCAGACGTAGATTTGGTCTTTTCACATAGTCGCATATTTCTTGGAGGCTTTGTTCATTTCTTTCTATTCTTTTTTCTCTAAACTTCCCTTCTCGCTTCATTTCATTCATTTCATCTTCCATCTCTGATACCCTTTCTTCCAGTTAATCGCATTGGCTCCTGAGGCTTCTGCGTTCTTCACGTAGTTCTCGAGCCTTGGCTTTCAGCTCCATCAGATCCTTTAAGCACTTCTCTGTATTGGTTATTCTAGTTATACATTCGTCTAAATTTTTTTCAAAGTTTTCAACTTCTTTGCCTTTGGTTTGAAGTTCCTTCTGTAGCTTGGAGTAGTTTGATCATCTGAAGCCTTCTTCTCTCAACTCGTCAAAGTCATTCCCTGTCCATCTTTGTTCCATTGCTGTTGAGGAACTGCATTCCTTTGGCGGAGGAGAGGTGCTCTGCTTTTTAGAGTTTCCAGTTTTTCTGCTCTGTTTTTTTCCCCATCTTTGTGGTTTTATCTACTTGTGGTCTCTGATGATGGTGATGTACAGATGGGTTTTTGGTGTGGATGTCCTTTCTGTTTGTTAGTTTTCCTTCTAACAGACAGGACCTTCAGCTGCAGGTCTGTTGGAGTTTGCTACACGTCCACTCCAGACCCTGTTTGCCTGGGTAACAGCAGTGTTGGCTGCAGAACAGTGGATTTTCATGAACCGCGAATGCTGCTGTCTGATCGTTCCTCTGGAAATTTTGTCTCAGTGGATTGCCCAGCCATATGAGGTGTCTGTCTGCCCCTACTGGGGGTTGCCTCCCTGTTAGGCTGCTAGAGGGTCAGGGGTCAGGGACCCACTTGAGGAGGCAGTCTGCCCATTCTCAGATCTCCAGCTGCGTGTTGTGAGAACCACTGCTCTCTTCAAAGCTGTCAGACAGGGACATTTAAGTCTGCAGAGGTTACTGCTGTCTTTTTGTTTGTCTGTGCCCTGCCCCCAGAGGTGGAGCCTACAGAGGCAGGCAGGCCTCTTTGAGGTGTGGTGGGCTCCACCCAGTTTGAGCTTCCTGGCTGCTTTGTTTACCTAAGCAAGCCTGGGCAATGGTGGACGCCCCTCCTGCAGCCTCGCTGCTGCCTTGCAGCTTGAACTCAGACTGCTGTGCTAGCAATCAGCCATACTCCATAGCCATAGGACCCTCCGAGCCAGGTGCGGGATATAATCTCCTGTTGCACCGGTTTTTAAGCCTGTCAGAAAAGCGCAGTGTTCAGGAGAGGGTGACCCGATTTTCCAGGTGCCATCTGTCACCCCTTTCTTTGACTAGGAAAGGGAACTCCCTGACCCCTTGCACTTCCTGAGTGAGGCAATGCCTCACCCTGCTTCAGCTCCTGCACAGTGCACTGCACCCACTCTCCTGCACCCACTGTAGGGCTGGCACTTCCTAGTGAGATGAACCCAGTACCTCAGACGGAAATGCACAAATCATCCATCTTCTGTGTCGCTCACGCTGGGAGCTGTAGACCAGAGCTGTTCCTATTCGGCCATCTTGGCTGCCTTCCAGTGTTCTGGAATCCCATGTGATGGGCAAACATTCAGACAATCGTAGCAGTGTTCTGGAATTCTATGTGATGCACAAACATTCGGAACCTCATCACAGAGTGCTGGAATTCTATGTGAGGTAGAAACATTCAAACCCTTGTAGCAGTGTTCTGGAATCCTGTGTGAGGGGTAAACATTCAGACCAAAGCAGGAGTGTTCTGGAAACCCCTGTGGGGAACAAACATTCATAACCTCATAGCAATGTTCTGGAATCCTATGTGATGAACAAACATTTAGACTCCAGCAGCGGTGTTCTGGAATCCTATGTGAGGGAGAAACACTAAGAACACAGTACGAGTGTTTTGGAATCCTATGTGAGGGACAAACATTCATACCCTCTTAGCAGTGTTCTGGAATCCTATGTGAGGGACAAACATTCAGACCACAGCAGGATTGTTCTGGAATCCTTTGTGAGGGACAAACACTCAGACTACAGCAAGAGTGTTTTGGATTCCTATGTGAGAGACAAACATTCAGAGCATCATAGCAGTGTTCTGGAATTCCTTATGAGGGACAAACTTTCACAACCTCATAGCAGTGTTCTGGAATCCTATGTGAGGGACAAACATTCAGATCAAGTCAGGAGTGTTCTTGAATCCCCTGTGTGGAACAAACATTCAGACCCTCCTAGCAGCGTCCTGGAATCCTATGTGAAGGAAAATCATTCAAACAAGGGCGGGAGTGTTCTGGAATCCTATGTTATGCACAAACATTCAGACCCTAGTCACAGTTTTCTGGAATTCTATGTGAGGGAGAAACAATGAGTACCTAGCAGCAGTGTTCTGGAATGCTCTGTGACGGATAAACACTCAGAACCTAGCAGCAGTGTTCTGGAACCCTATGTGAGGGACAAACAATCAGACCACAGCAGGATTGTTCTGGAATCCTATGTGAGGGAGAAACACTCAGAAAAAAGCATTAGTGTATTGCAATCCTATGGGAGGGACAACATTTAGACCCTTGTAGCAGAGTTCTGGAATCCAGTGTGAGGGACAAACATTCAGACCACTGCAGGATGGTTCAGGAATCCTATCTGAGGGACAAACATGCAGACCCTCACAGCAGTGTTCTGGAATCCTACATGAGGGATAAACATTCAGACCATCGTATTAGTGTTCTGGAATCCTGTGTGAGAGACAACCGTTCAGACCCAAGAAGAAGTGTTCTGCAATCCTATGTGAGAGACAAACATTCTAACAACAGCTGGAGTGTTCTGGAGTCCTATGTTACGGACAAACATTCAGACCCCTGTTGCAGTCTTCTGCAAATCTATGTGAGGTAGAAACACTCAAAACCCAGCAGTAGGGTTCTGGAATCGTATGTGAGGGACAATCACTCAGATCAAAGCAGGAGTGTTTTGGAATCTTATGTGAGGGACAAACATTAATATCCTCTTAGCAGTGTTCTGGAATCCTGTTTATGGACAAACATTCAGACCCTCGTCACCATGTTCTTTATTTCTACATGAGGGAGTAACACTCAGAACCCAGTGGCAGTGTCATGGAATCCTATGTGATGGACATACATGTAAACCCCTGCAGCAGTGTTCTGGAATCCTGTGTGAGGGACAAACATTCAGAAACCAGCAACAGTGTTAGGGAATCCTACGTAAGGGACAATCATTCAGACCCTCGTAGCAGTGATCTGGAATTCTGTTTGAGGGACAAAATTCAGAACCCAGTAGCAGTGTTCTGGAATCCTGTGTGAGGGACAAACATTCAGACACCAGCAGCAGAGTTCTGGAAACGTATGAGAGGGCCAATCTTTCAGACACTCATAGCAGTGTTCTGGAATTCTTTGTTAGGGACAAACATTGAGACCTGCGTAGCATTGTTCTGGATTCCTTTGTGAGGGACAAACATTCAGACCACAGCAGGAGTGTTCTGGAATCCACTGTGAAGAACAAACATTCAGAACCTCTTAGCAGTGTTCTGGAATCCTGTGATGGATAAATATTTATATCTGACGAGCAGTGTTCTGAAATCCTAGGTGAGTGACATTCAGACAATCATAGCAGATTCTGGAATACTATGTATGGGACAAACATTCAGACACAAGTAGCAGTGTTCTGGAATGCTATGTGCAGGACAAACATTTAAACAACATCGAGAGTGTTACGGAATCCTATTTTACGGACGAACATTCAGACCCTCGTCGTACTGTTCTGGAATTCTATGTGAGGGAGAATCACTCATAACACTGCAGCAGTTCTCTGTAACCCTATGTATGGGACAAACCTTCAGAACACAGCAGGATTGTTCTGGAATCCTATGTGAGGGACAAACACTCAGAACACAGCAGGAGTGTTTTGGAATCCTACGTGGGAAACATACATTCAGACCCTCATAGCTGTGTTCTGGAATCCTATGTGAAGGATAAATATTTATATTCGAGGAGCAGTGTTCTGAAATCCTAGGTGAGGGACAAACATTCAGAACCTAGCAGTGTTCTGGAATCCTATGTGAGGGACAAACCTTCAGACAATCATAGCAGATTCTGGAATACTATGTGTGGGACAAACATTCAGACACCAGTAGCAGTGTTCTGGAATGCTATGTGTGGGACAAACATTTAAACAACATCGAGAGTGTTATGGAATCCTATTTTATGGACGAACATTCAGACCCTCGTCATAGTGTTCTGGAATTCTATGTGAGGGAGAATCACTCATAACACTGCAGCAGTGTTCTGGAACCCTATGTATGGGACAAACCTTCAGAACACAGCAGGATTGTTCTGGAATCCTATGTGAGGGACAAACACTCAGAACACAGCAGGAGTGTTTTGGAATCCTATGTGGGGGACAAACATTCAGACCCTCATAGCAGTGCTCAGGAATCCTATGTGAGGGACAAACATACAGACCACAGCAGGATTGTTCTGGAATCCTATGTGACGGACAAACATTCAGACCCTCGTTGCAGTGTTCCGGAATCCTATGTGAGCAACAAACAGTCAGACAATCGTGGTAGTGTTCTGGAATCCTAAGTGAGGGACAAACATTCAGACCCCAGCAGCAGTGTTCTGGAATCCTATGTGAGGGAGAAACACTCAGAATACAGCAGGAATATTTGGCATCCTATGAGACGGACAATCATTGAGAACCTCATAGCAGTGTTCTGGAATCCTATGTGAGGGAGAAACATTCAGAACACAGCAGGAGGGTTTTGGGACCCTATGTGAGGAATGAACATTCTCACCACAGCAGGATTGTTCTGGAATCCTATGTGAGGGACAAACACTCAGAACACAGCAGGAATATTTTGGAATCCTATGTGAGGGACAAACATTCATACCCTCTTAGCAGTGTTCAGTAATCCTATGTGAGGGACAAACATTCAGACCACAGCAGGAGTGTTCTGGAATCCTATGTGAGGGACAAACATTCAGACACTCTCAGCAGTGTTCTGGAATCCTATACGAGTTATGAACATTCAAACAACAGCGGGAGTGTTCTGCAATCCTATGTTACGGACAAACATTCTGACCCTCGTCACAGTTTTCTGGAATTCTGTATGAGGGAGAAGCACTCAGAAACCAGCAGCAGTTTTCTGGAATCCTATGTGAGGGACAAACATTCAGACTCCAGCAGCAGTGTTCTGGAATGCTATGTGAGGGAAAATCATTCAGACCCTCATAGCGGTGTTCTGGAATTCTGTGTGAGGGACAAAAATTCAGAGCCTCATAGGAGTGTTCTGGACTCCTGTGTGAGGGACAAATATTCACAACACAACAGGAGTGTTCTGGAATCCCCTGTAAGGAATAAACATTCAGAGCCTCGTGGCAGTGTTCTGGAGTCCTATGTGAGGGACAAACACTCAGACCCCAGTAGCAGTGTTCTGGAGTCCTATGTGAGGGACAAACGTTCAAACAACAGTGAGAGTGTTCCGGAATGCTATGTTACGGAGAAACATTCAGACTCTTGTTGCAGTGTTCTGGAGTTCTATGTGAGGGAGATACATTCAGAACCCAGCAGCAGGGATCTGGAACCCCATGTGACGGCCATACATGTAGACCCCAGCAGCAGTGTTCTGGAATCCTATGTGAGGGACAAACATTCAGACCCCAGCAGCAGTGTTTTGGAATCCTATGTGTGTGTGACAAATATTCAGACCCTTGTAGCAGTGTTCCAGAATCCTATGTGAGGGACAAACACTGAGAATCTAGCAGCAGTGTTCTGCAACCCTATATGAGGGACAGACATTCAGACCACAACAGGAGTGTTCTGGAATCCTATATGAGGGACAAACATTCAGACAATCGTAGCAGTGTTCTGGAATCCTATGTGAGGGACAAACATTCAGACAATCGTAGCAGTGTTCTAGAGTCCTAAGTGAGGGAAGAACATTCAGACCCTCGTATCACTGTTCTGGATCCTAAGTGAGGGACAAACATTCAGACCACAGCAGAGTGTTCTGGAATCCACAGTGAGGGACAAACTTTCAGACCCTCGTGGCAGTGTTCTGGAATCCTATGGAGTGGCAAACATTCAGACAATTGTAGCAGGGTTCTGGAATCCTGTGTGACGAAAAAACCTTCAGACTCAAGCAGCAGTGTTCTGGAATCCTATGTGAGGGACAAACATTCAAACAACAGCAGGAGTCTTCTGGAATCCTATGTTACGGACAAATATTCAGACCCTCGTCGCAGTCTTCTGGAATTCTATGTGAGGGAGGAACACTCAGAATCCTGCAGCATTGTTCTGGAATCCCATGTGACGGACATACATGTAGACCCCTGCAGCCGTGTTCTGGAATCCTATGTGAGGGACAAATATTCAGAACCCAGCAGCAGTGTTCTGGAGTCCCATGTGAGGGACAATCATTCAGACCATCGTAGCACTGTTCTGGAATTCTGTGTGAGGGACAAACATTCACACTCTCGTAGCAGTGTTCTGGAATCCTAAGTGACGGACAAGCATTTAGACCTCAGCAGAAGTATTCTGGAATCCTATGTAAGTTACAAACATTGAAACAACAACGGGAGTGTTCTGGAATCCTTTATTGCAAACAAACTTTCAGACCCTCGTCGCAGTGCTCTGGAGTTCTATGTGAGGGAGAAAGACTCAGAACCCAGCAGCAGTGCTCTGGAATCCTATGTGACAGACACACATGTATACCCCAGCAGCAGTGTTCTGGAATCCTATGTGAGGGACAAACATTCAAACAACAGTGGGAGTGTTCTGGAATCCTATGTTACAGACAAACATTCAGGCTCTCATCACAGTGTTCTAGAATGCTATGTGAGGGAGAAACACCCAGAACCCAGCAGCAGTGTTCTGAAATCCTATGTGACAGACATACATGAAGACCCCAGAAGCAGTGCTGTGGAACGCTATGTGAGGAATATTCATTCAGACCCCAGCAGCAGTGTTCTGGAATACTGTGTGAGGGACAATCATTGAGAACCTCGTATCAGTGTTCTGGAATTCTGTGTGAGGGACAAACTTTCAGACCACAGCAGGAGTGTTCTGGAATCCTATGTGATGGACAAACACTCAGAAGACAGCTGGACTATTTTGCAATCCTATGTGAGAGACAATCATTCAGACCCTCGTAGCAGTGTTCTGGAGTCCTGTGTGAGGAACAAGCATTCAGACCACAGCAGGAGTATTCTGGAATCCCCTCTGAAGAACAAACATTCAGGCTATCGTAGCAGTGTTCTGGAATCCTGTGTGACTGACAAACATTGAGACCCCAGCAGCAGTGTTCTGGAGTGTTATGTGAGGGACAAACATTCAGACACTAGTAGCAGTGTTCTGGAATCCTGTGTGAGGGACAAACACTCAGAACCCAGCAGCATTTTTCTGGGTCCCTATATGAGGGACAAACACTCGGAACACAGCTTCAGTGTTTTGCAATCCTATGTGAGGGACAAACATTCAGACCCTCGTAGAAGTGTTCTGGAATCCTATGTGAGGGACAAACTTTCCGACAATTATAACAGTGTTCTGCAATCCTACTTTAAGGACAAATATGCAGACCCTCGTAGCAGTGTTCTGGAATCCTATGTGAGGGACACACATTCAGACAATCGTAGCAGTTTTCTGGAATCCTATGTGAGGGACAAACATTCAGACCCCAACACAAGTGTTCTGCAATCCTACGTTAAGGACAAATATTCAGACCCTCGTAGCAGTGTTCTGGAATCCTATGTGAGGGACACACATTCAGACAATCCTAGCAGTTTTCTGGAATCCTATGTAAGGGAAAAACATTGAATCAACAGCGGGAGTGTTCTGGAATCCTATGTTATGGACAAACATTCAGACGCTCATTGCAGTGTTCTGGAATTGTACGTGAGGGAGGAACACTCAGAACCCAGCAGCAGTTTTCTGGAATCCTATATGATGGACATACATGTAGACCCCAGCAGCAGTGTTCTGGAATCCCATGTGAGGGACAAATATTCAGACCTTCGTCGAATTGTCTGGAATCCTATGAGAAGGACAAACACTCGGAAACCAGCAGCAGCATTCAGGAACCCTATGTGAGGGACAAACATTCAGACAACAGCAGGATTGTTCTGGACTCCGATGTGAGGGATATACACTCAGAAAACAGCAGGAGTGTTTTGGAATCCTATGTGAGGGACAAACATTCAGATCGTCGTAGCAGTGTCCTGGAATTCTTCATGAGGGATAAACATTCAGACCCCCATAGCAGTGTTCTGGAATCCTATGTGAGGGACAATCATTCAGACCACAGCAGGAGTGTTCTGGAATCTCCTGTGAGGAACAGACATTCAGACCCCTAACAGTGTTCTGAAATCCTATGTGATGGACAAACATTTAGACGCCAGCAGTGCTCTGGAATGCAATGTGAGGGACAAACATTGAGACCCTCGTAGCAGTGTTCTGGTATCCTATCTGAGAGACCAACTCTCAGAAACAAGCAGCGGTGTTCTGGAAAATTATGTAAGGGACAAAGATTCAGGCCAAAGCAGGTATGCTCTGGAATTCTATGTGAGGAACGAACTCTCAGAATACTGCAGGAGTGTTTTAGTATCCTATGTGAGGGACAAACATTCAGACCCTCGTAGCAGTGTTCTGGAATCCCATGTGATTGACAAACATTCAGACCACAGCAGGAGTATTCTGGAATCCCCTGTGAGGATCCAACATTCAGACCCCCATACCAGTGTTCTGGAATCCTATGTGAGGGACAAACATTTAGACCCCAGCAGCAATGTTCTGGAATCCTATGTGAGGAACAAACATTCAGACCCTCGAAGCAGTGTTCTGGAATCCTATGTGAGGGACAAACATTCAGAACCAAGCAGCAGTGTTCTGGAACTCTGTATGAGGGACAAACATTCAGAACACGGCAGGATTGTTCTGCAATCCTATGTGAGGGAGAAACCCTCAGAAAACCATAGGAATGTTTTGGAATCCTACGTGAGGGCCAAACAATCAAACCCTCGTAGCTGTGTTCCAGAATCCTATGTGGGGGCAAACACTGAGACAATCGTAGCAATTTTCTGGAATCCTTTGTGAGGGACAAACATTCATTCCCTCATAGCAGTGTTTGGGAATCCTGTATGAAGGACAAACATTCAGACCACACAGTTCTGGAATCCCCACTGTGGGAAAAACATTCAGACCCTCCTAGCAGTGTTCTGGAATCCTATGTGATGGACAAAGATTTAGACCACAGCAGCAGGGTTCTGAAATCCTATGTGAGGAACAAACATTCAGATCCTCGAAGCAGAGTTCTGGAATCCTATGTAAGGTACAAACATTCAGACAATAGCAGCAGTGTTATGGAATTCTATGTGAGGAACAAACGTTCAGACCCACATAGCAACGTTTTAGATTCCTATGTGAGGGACCGACATTCAGACAATCGAAGCAGTGTTCTGGAATCATATGTGAGGGACAAACATTCGGACACCAGCAGCAGTGTTCTGGAATCCTATGTGAGGGACAAACATACAAACAAGAGCGAGAGTGTTCTGGAATCCTATGTTGCGGACAAACATTCAGACGCTCGTCACAATGTTCTGGAATTCTATGTGAGGGAGAAACAGTCAGAACCCAATAGCAGTGTTCTGGAATCCTATGTGACGGACATACATGTAGACCCCAGCAGCAGTGTTTTGGAATCCTATGTGAGGGACAGTCATTCAGACCCTCGTAGCAGTGTTCTGGAATTCTGTGTCAAGCACAAACTTTCAGACCCTCATAGCAGTGTTCTGGAATCCTATGTGAGGGACAATCATCCAGGCCATAGCAGGAGTGTTCTGGAATCCCCTGTGAGGAATAAACGTTCAGACAGTCGTAGCAGTGTTCTGGAATGCTATGTGAGGGACAAACATTCAGACAATCGTAGCAGTGTTCCGTAATCCTATGTGAGGGACAAACATTCAAACAACAGCGGGATTGTTCAGGAATCCTATGTTATGGACAAACATTCTAGACCCTCATCGCAGTGTTCTGGAATTCTATGTGAGCGAGAAACACTCAGAACCCAAAAGCAGTGTTCTGGAATCCTATGTGAGGGACAAACATTACGACCCCAGCGACAGTGTTCTGGAATCCTATGTGAGGGCCAATCATTCAGACACTCGTGCCAGTGTTCTGGAATTCTGCGTGAGGGACAAACATTCTGACTCCTGTAGCAGTGTTCTGTAGTACTGTGTGAGGGAAAAACATTGAGACCACAGCAGGAGTGTTCTGGAATTCCCTGTGAGGAACAGACATTCAGACCCTCTTAGGAGGGTTCTGGAATCCGGTGTGATGGACAAAAATCTAGACCCTAGCAGCAGTGTTCTGGGATCCTATGTGAGGGTCAAACATTCAGACCCTTGTAGCAGTGTTCTGGAATCCTATGTGAGGGAGAAACACTCAGAACCCAGCAGCAGTGTTCTGAAACCCTATGTGAGAGACAAACATTCTGACAACAGGAGGATAGTTCTGGAATCCTAGGTGAGGGACAAACACTCAGAAAACAACAGGAGTGTTTTGGAATCCTAAATGAGGGACAGTCATTCAGATCGTCATAGCAGTGTTCTGGAATTTTGTGTGAGGGACAAACATTCACACCCCAGCAGAAGTGTTGTGGAATTCTAAATGAGGGACAAACATTCAGACCCTCATAGCAATGCTCTGGAATAGTGTGTGATGGAGAAACTTTTAGACCCCAGCAGCAGTGTTCTGTAATCCTTTGTAAGAGAAAAACAATCAGACCCTCATAGGTGTGTTCTGGAATCCCATGTGATGGACAACCACTCAGAACCCAGCAGCAGTGTTCTGTAACTATATGTGAGGGGCAAACATTCAGAACACAGCAGGATTGTTCTGTAATCCCATGTGAGGGACAATCATTCAGACCCTCGTGGCTGTGTTCTGGAATCCTAAGTGAGGGACAAACATTCAGACAATCATAGCAGTGTTCTGGAATCCCATGTGAGGGAAAAACATTCAGACCCTCCCAGCAGTGTTCTGGAATCCTATGTGAGGGACAAACATTCAGACAAACGTAGCAGTGTTCTGGAAACCTATGTAAGGGAAAAACATTCAAACAACACCGAGATTGTTCTGGAATCCTATGTTACGGACAACCATTAATAATCTCTTCACAGTGTTATGGAATTCTACGTGAGGGAGAAACACACAGAACCCAGCAGCAGTGTTCCAGAAACCTATGTGAGGGACTCACATTCAGACCACGGCAGGATTGTTCTGGAATCCCATGTGAGGGACAAACACTCGGAACACAGCAGGAGTGTTTTGGATTCCTATGTGCGGAACAAACATTCAGAACCTCGTGACAGTGTTCGTGAATCCTATAGGAGGAACTAACATTCAGAACACAGCAGGAGTGTTCTGGAATCCTATGTGAAGAACAAACATTCAGACCCCCGTAGCAATGTTTTGGAATCCTATGTGAAGGACAAACATTCAGACGATCGTAGCAGTGTTCTGGAATCCAATGTGAGGGACAAACATTTAAGCTACGGGGAGGGGGCGTTCTGGAATCCTATGTTACGGACAAACATTCAGAACCTCGTCGCAGTGTTCTTGAATTCTATGTCAGGGAAAAACAGTCAGAACCCAGCAGCAGTGTTTTGGAATCCTATGTGACAGACACACATGTAGACCCCAGCAACAGTGTTCTAGGATCCTATGTGAGGGAAAAACATTCAGACCCCAGCAGCAGTGTCCTCGAATCCTATGTGAGGGACAATCATTCAGACCCTCGTAGCAGTGTTCTGGAATTCTGTGTGAGGGACAATCATTCGACTGTCATAGCAGTGTTCTGGAATCCTAAGTGTAGGACAAACATTCAGACAATCGTAGCAGTGATCTGGAAATCTATGTGAGGAACAAACATTCACACACTCTTAGGAGGGTTCTAGAATCCTATGTGAGGGACAAACATTCAGACAATAGTAGCAGTGTTCTGGAATCCTCTGTGAGTGACAAACATTCAGAATCCAGCAGCAGTGTTCTGGAATCCAATGTGAGGGACAAACATTTAAACAACAGGCGGGGGGTTCTGGAATCCTATGTTACGGACAAACATTCAGAACCTCGTCGCAGTGCTATGGAATTCTATGAGAGGGAGAAACAGTCAGAACCCAGCAGCAGTGTTTTGGAATCCCACGTGACGGACATACATATAGACCCCAGCAGCAGTGTTCTGGGATCCTATGTGAGGGACAAACATTCAGACCCCAGCAGCAGTGTTCACCAATCCTATGTGAGGGACAATCATTCAGACCCCAAGGGCCCCAAATATCCACTTGCAGATTCTACTAAAAGAGTGTTTCCAAACTGCTCAATCAAAAGAAAGGTTCAACTCTGTCAGATGAATGCACACATCACGAAGAATTTTCTCAGATTGCTTCAGTCTAGATTTTATGTGAAGATATTTCCTTTTCTACCATAGGCAGCAAAGTGCTCTAAATGTCCACTTGCAGATTCTACAAACAGAAGCTTTCTAAATTTCTCAAGCAAAAGAAAAGTTTAACTCTGTGAGATGAATGCACACATCACAAAGAAGTTTCTCAGATTGCTTCTGTCTAGATTTTATGTGAATATATTTCCTTTTCTACCACAGGCGGCAAAGCGCTCCAAGTGTCCACTTGCAGATTCCACAAAAAGAGAGTTTCCAAACTGCTCAATAAAAGAAAGGTTCAACTCTGTGAGATGAACTCACACATCACAAGAAGTTTCTCAGAATTCTTCTGTCTAGTTTTTATGGGAAGTTATTTCCTTTTAGAGCTTAGGCCTCAAAGCGCTCCATATGTCCACTTGCAGTTTCTACGAAAAGAGAGTTTCAAAACTACTCAATCAAAAGAAAGTTTTGCTTCTCTCTAGATTTTATGTGAAGACAATTCCTTTTCTACCATAGGCTGCAAAGCGCTTCAAATGTTCACTTGCAGATTCTACAAAAAGAGTGTTTCCAAACTGCTCAATCAAAAGAAAGGTTCAACTCTGTGAGATGAATGCACACATAACAAAGAAGTTTCTCAGATTGCTTCTGTCCAGTTTTTATCTGAAGATATTTCCTTGCCACCATAGGCCTCAAAGGCTAAAAATGTCCACGTGCAGATTCTACAAAAAGAGTTTCAAAACTGCTCAATCAAAAGAAAGGTTTAACATTGTGAGATGAATGCACACATCACAAAGAAGTTTCTCAGAATTATTCTGTCTAGTTTTTATGTGAAGATATTTCATTTTCCACCATAGGCCTCAAAGCGTTCCAAATGTACTCTTGCAGATTCTGCAAAAAGAGAGTTTCAAAACTGCTCAATCAAAAGAAAGGTTTAACTCCACGAGATGAATGCACAAGTCACAAAGAAGTTTCTCAGATAGCTTCTGTCTAGATTTTATGTGAAGATAATTCCTTTTCTACCATAGGCCACAAAGCACTCCAAATGTCCATTTGCAGGTTCTACAAAAACAGTGTTTCCACACTGCTCAATTGAAAGAAAGGTTCAACTCTGTGAGACAAACGCACACATCACAAAGAACTTTCTCAGAATTCTTCTGTCCAGTTTTTATGTGAAGATATTTCCTTTCCACCATAGGCCTCAAAGCGCTAAAAATGTCCACTTGCAGATTCTACAAAAAGAGTTTTGAAACTGCTCAATCAAAAGAAAGGTTTAACTCTGTGACATGAGTTCACACATCACAAAGAAATTTCTCAGAATTTTTCTGTCTAGTTTTTATGTGAAGATATTTCCTTTTCCACCATAGGCCTCGAAGCGTTCCAAATGTACTCTTGTAGATTGTACAAAAAGAGTTTCAAAGCTGTTCAATCAAAAGAAAGGTTTAACTCTGTGAGATGAATGCACACATTGCAAAGAAGTTTCTCAGATTGCTTCTGTCTACATTTTATATGAAGATATATCCTTTTCTACCGTAGGCCTCAAAGTGCACCAAATGTCCACTTGCAGTTTCTACAAAAAGAGTGTTTCCAAACTGCTCAATCAAAAGAAAAGTTGAACTCTGTGAGATGAATGCACACATCACAGGGAAGTTTCTCAGATTGTTTCTGTCTAGATTTTATGTGAAGATATTTCCTTTTCTACCGTAGGCTGCAAAGCGCTCCAAATGTCCACTTGTAGATTCAACAAAAAGAGTGTTTCCAAACTGCTCAATCAAAAGTCATGTTCAACTCTGATCAATGAATGCACGCATCACAAAAAAAGTTTCTCCAAATTCTTCAGTCTAGTTTTTGTGTGATGATATTTCCTTTTTAATCATAAGACTCAAAGCACTCCAAATGTCCACTACCACATTCTACAAAAAGAGAGTTTCAAAACTGCTCAATCAAGATGAAGTTTTAACTCTATTAGATGAATGCACACATCACAAAGAAGTTTCTCAGGTTGCTTCTGTGCAGATTTTATGTGAAGATATTTCCTTTTCTACCACAGGCCGCAACGTGCTCCAAATATCTACCTGCAGATTCTACAAAAAGAGTGTTTCCAAATTGCTCAATCAAAAGAAATGTTGAACTCTGTGAGACGAATGCATGCATCACAAAGAAGTTTCTCAGATTGCTTCTGTCTAGATTCTATGTGAAGATATTTCCTTTTCTAGCAAAGGCTGCAAAGCACTCCAAATGTCCACTTGCAGATTTTACAAAAAGAGTGTTTTCAAACTGCTCAATCAAAAGAAAGGCTCAAGTCTGTGAGATGAATGCACACATCACAAAGAATTTTCTCAGAATTCTTCTGTCTAGTTTTTAAGTGAAGATATTTCCTTTCCACCATAGGCCTGAAGACGCTCCAAATGTCCACTTGCAGATTCCACAAAAAGAGAGTTTCAAAACGCCTCAATCAAAAGGAAGGGTTAACTCTGTGAGATGAATGCACACATCACAAAGAAGTTTTTCAGATTGCTTCTGTCTGGATTTTATGTGAAGATGTTTCCTTTTCTACAGTAGGCCACAAATCGCTCTAACTGTCCAGTTGCAGATTCTACAAAAAGCGTGTTTCCAATCTGCTTAATAAAAAGAAAGCTTCAACTCTGTGAGATGAACGCACATATCACAATGAAGTTTCTCAGAATTCTTCTGTCTAGTTTTACATGAAGATATTTCCTTTTCCAGCTGAGGCCTCCAAGTGTTCAGATTGTCCACTTACAGATACTACAAAAAGAGAGTTTCAAAACTGGTCAGTCAAAAGAAAGGCTTAACTCTGTGAGATGAATGCACACATCACAAAGAAGTTTCACAGATTGCTTCTTTCTAGATTTTATGTGAAGATATTTCCTTTTCTACTATAGGCTGCAAAGCGTTCCAAATATCCACTTGCAGATTCTACAAACAGAGGCTTTCCAAACTGCTCAATAAAAAGAAAAGTTTAACTCTGTGAGATGAATGCACAAATCACAAAGAAGTTTCTCAGAATTCTTCTGTCTAGTTTTTATGTGAAGATATTTCCTTTTCCACCATAGGCCTCAAAGCGCTCCAAATGTCCACTTGCAGTTTCTACAAAAAGAGAGTTTCAAAACTGCTCAATCAAAAGAAAGGTTTAACTCTATGAGATGAATGCACACATCATAAAGAAGTTTCTCAGATTGCTTCTGTCTAGATGTGATATGAAGATATTTCCCTTTCTACAACAGGCCGCAAAGCACTCCAAATGTCCACTTGCAGATTCTACAAAAAGAGTGATTCCAAACTGCTCAATCAAAAGAAAGGCTCAACTCTGTGAGACGAATTCACATATCACAAAGAAGTTTCTCAGAATTCTTCTGTCCAGTTTTTATGTGAAGATATTTACTTTTCCACCATAGGCCTCAAACCGCTCCAAATGTCCACTTGAAGATTCTACAGAAAGAGTTTCAGAACTGCTCAATCAAAAGAAAGGTTTAACTCTGTGAGTTGAATACACATATCACAAAGAAGTTTCTCAGATTGCTTCTGTCTAGGTTTTATGTGAAGGTATTTCCTTTTCTACTGTAGGCCACAGAGTGCACCAAATGTACACTTGCAGGTTGTACAAAAAGAGTGTTTCCAAACTGCTCAATCAAAAGAAAAGTTCAACTCTGTGAGATGAACACACGTATCACAAAGAAGTTTCTCATAATTCTTCTGTCTAGTTTTTATGTGAAGATATTTCCTTTTCCACCATAGGCCTCAAAGGGCTCCAACTGTCCACTTGCAGATTCTGCAAAAAGAGAGTTTCAAAACTCCTCAATCAAAAGAAATGTTTAACTCTGTGAGATGAATGCACATGTCAGAGAGAAGTTTCTCAGATTGTTTCTGTCTAGACTTTATGTGAAGATATTTCCTTTTCTTCCACAGGCTGCAAAGTGCTCCAACTGTCAACTTGCAGATTCTACAAAAAGAGTGTTTCCAAACTGTTGAATCAAAAGAAATTTTCAAATCTGTGAGATGAAAGCACACATCACAAAGAAGTTTGTCAGAATTCTTCTGTCTAGTTTTTATGTGCAGATATTTCCTTTCCACCTTAGGCCTCAAAGCGCTCCAAATGTCCACTTGCAGATTCTAAAAAAGGAGAGTTTCAAAACTCCTCAATCAAAAGGAAAGTTTAACTCTGTGAGATGAATGCACACATCACAAAGAAGTTTCTCAGATTGCTTCTGTCTAGATGTTATGTGAAGATATTTCCTTTCTACTATAGGCTGCAAAGCGCTCTAAATTTCCACTTGCAAATACTAAAAAAAGAGTGTTTCCAAACTGCTCAATCAAAAGAAAGGTTCAACTGTGATCGATGAATGCACGCATCACAAAAAAAGTTTCTCCAATTTCTTTAGTCTAGTTTTTATGTGATGATATTTCCTTTTTAATCATAAGACTCAAAGCACTCCAAATGTCCATTAGCAGACTCTACAAAAAGAGAGTTTCAAAACTGCTCAATCAAGAGAAAGTTTTAACTCTATTAGATGAATGCACACATCACAAAGAAGTTTCTCAGGTTGCTTCTGTGCAGATTTTATGTGAAGATATTTCCTTTTCTACCACAGGCCACAAAGTGCTCCAAATGTCTACTTGCAGATTCTACAAAAAGAGTGTTTCCAAACTGCTCAATCAAAAGAAATGTTGAACTCTGTGAGATGAATGCACGCATCACAAAGAAGTTTCTCAGATTGCTTCTGTCTAGATTTTATGTGAAGATATTTCCTTTTCTACCAAAGGCTGCAAAGCACTCCAAATGTCCACTTGCAGATTTTACAAAAAGAGTGTTTTCAAACTGCTCAATCAAAAGAAAGGCTCAAGTCTGTGAGATGAATGCACACATCACAAAGAATTTTCTCAGAATTCTCCTGTCTAGTTTTTAAGTAAAGATATTTCCTTTCCACCATAGGCCTGAAGGCGCTCCAAATGTCCATTTGCAGATTCTACAAAAAGAGTGTTTCCAAACTGCTTAATAAAAAGAAAGGTTCAACTCTGTGAGATGAATGCACATATCACAGTGAAGTTTCTCAGAATTCTTCTGTCTAGTTTTACATGAAGATATTTCCTTTTCCAGCTGAGGCCTCAAAGTGCTCAAATTGTCCACTTGCAGATACTACAAAAAGAGAGTTTCAAAACTGCTCAGTCAAAAGAAAGGCTTAACTCTGTGAGATGAATGTACACATCACAAGGAAGTTTCACAGATTGCTTCTTTCTAGATTTTATGTGAAGATATTTCCTTTTCTACCATAGGCTGCAAAGCGTTCCAAATACCCACTTGCAGATTCTACAAACAGAGGCTTTCCAAACTGCTCAATAAAAAGAAAAGTTTAACTCTGTGAGATGAATGCACACATCACAAAGAAGTTTCTCAGAATTCTTCTGTCCAATTTTTATGTGAAGATATTTCCCTTTCCACCATAAGCCTCAAAGCGCTCCAAATGTCCACTTGCAGATTCTACAAAAAGAGAGGTTCAAAACTGCTCAATCAAAAGAAAGGTTTAACTCTATGAGATGAATGCACACATCATAAAGAAGTTTCTCAGATTGCTTCTCTCTAGATTTGATGGGAAGATATTTCCCTTTCTACCATAGGCCCCAAAGTGCTCCAAATGTCTACTTGCAGATTCTACAAAAAGAGTGTTTCCAAACAGCTCAGTCAAAAGAAAGGCTTAACTCTGTGAGACGAACACACACATCACAAAGAAGTTTCTCAGAATTCTTCTGTCCAGTTTTAGTGTGAAGATATTTACTTTTCCACCATAGGCCTCAAACCACTCCAAATGTCCGCTTGAAGATTCTACAGAAAGAGTTTCAGAACTGCTCAATAAAAAGTAAGGTTTAACTCTGTGAGTTGAATGCACACATCACAAAGAATTTTCTCAGATTGCTTCTGTCTAGATTTTATGTGAAGGTATTTCCTTTTCTACTGTAGGCCACAGAGCGCCCCAAATGTACACTTGCAGTTTGTACAAAAAGAGTGTTTCCAAACTGCTCAATCAAAAGAAAAGTTCAACTCTGTGAGATGAACACACATATCACAAAGAAGTTTCTCAGAATTCTTCTGTCTAGTTTTTATGTGAAGATATTTCCTTTTCCACCATAGGCCTCAAAGGGCTCCAAATGTCCACTTGCAGATTCTGCAAAAAGAGAGTTTCAAAACTCCTCAATCAAAAGAAATGTTTAACTCTGTGAGATGAATGCACACGTCACAGAGAAGTTTCTCAGATTGTTTCTGTCTAGATTTTATGTGAAGATATTTACTTTTCTTCCATAGGCTGCAAAGTGCTCCAAATGTCAACTTGCAGATTCTACAAAAAGAGTGTTTCCAAACTGTTGAATCAAAAGAAATTTTCAAATCTGTGAGATGAAAGCACACATCACAAAGAATTTTGTCAAAATTCTTCTGTCTAGTTTTTATGTGCAGATATTTCCTTTCCACCTTAGGCCTCAAAGTGCTCCAAATGTCCACTTGCAGATTCTAAAAAAGGAGAGTTTCAAAACTCCTCAATCAAAAGGAAGGTTTAACTCTGTGAGATGAATGCACACATCCCAAAGAAGTTTCTCAGATTGCTTCTGTGTAGATTTTATGTGAAGATATTTCCCTTTCTACCGTAGGCCACAACGTGCTCCAAATATCCACTTGCAGATTCTACAAATAGAGTGTTTCTAAACTGCTCAATCAAAGGAAAGGTTCAAATCTGTGAGATGAACAAACACATCACAAACAAGTTTCTCAGAATGCTTCTGTCTAGTTTTTATGTGAAGATATTTCATTTTCCACCATAGACTCAAGACGCTCGAAATGTCCACTTGCAGATTCTACAAAAAGAGTATTTTAAAGCTGGTCCAACAAAAGAAAGGTTCAACTCTGGGAGATGAATGCACACATCACAAAGAAGTTTCTCAGATTGCTTCTGTCTAGATTTTATGTGAAGATATTTCGTTTTCTACCACAGGCCACAAAGCACTCGAAATGTCCACTTGCAGATTCTACAAAAAGAGTGTCTCCAAACTGCTCAATCAAAAGAAAGTTTCAAATCTGTGAGATGAACACATACATCACAAAGAAGTTTCTCAGAATTCTTCTGTCTAGTTTTTATGTGAAGATATTTCCTTTTCCACATTAGACCTCTAAGCACTCCAAATGTCCATTTGCAGTTTCTAGAAAAAGAGAGGTTCAAAACTGCTCAATCAAAAGAAACGTTTAACTCTGGGAGATGAAGGCACACATCCAAAGACGTTTCTCAGAATGCTTCCGTCTAGTTTTTATGTGAAGTTATTTCCTTTCCACCATAGGCCTCAAAGTGCTAAAAATGTCCGCTTGCAGATTCTACAAAAAGAGTTTCAAAACTGCTCAATCAGAAGAAAGGTTTAACTCTGTGAGATGACTGCACACATCACAAAGAAATTTCTCAGAATTCTTTTGTCTACTTTTTATGTGACGATATTTCCTTTTCGACCATAGACGTCAAAGCGCTAAAAATGTCCACTTGCAGATTCTACAAAAAGAGAGTTTCAAAACTTCTCTATCAGAAGAAAGGCTTAACTGTGTGAGATGAATACACACATCACAAAGAAGTTTCTCAGATTGCTTCTGTCTAGATTGTATGTGAAGGTATTTCCTTTTCTACTGTAGGCCTCAAAGCACACAAAATGTCCACTTGCAGTTTCCACAAAAAGAGTGTTTCCAAACTGCTCAATGAAAAGAAAAGTTGAACTCTGTGAGATGAAAGCACATATCACAAAGAAGTTTCTCAGAATTCTTCTGTCTACTTTTTATATGAAGATATTTCCTTTTCCACCTTAGGCATCAAAGCATTAAAAATGTCCACTTGCAGATTCTACAAAAAGAGAGTTTCAAAACTCCTCAATAAAAAGAAATGTTTATCTCTGTGAGGTGAATGCACACATCACAGAGAAGTTTCTCAGATTGTTTCTGTCTAGATTTTATGTGAAGATACTTCATTTTCTTCCATAGGACAAAAAGTGCTCCAGATGTCCATTTGTAGATTCAACAAAAAGAGTGTTTCCAAACTGATGAATCAAAAGAAATTTTCAAATCTGTGAGATGACAGCACACATCACAAAGAAGTTTGTCAGAATTCTTCTGTCTAGTTTTTATGTGAAGATATTTCCTTTCCACCGTAGGCGTCAAAGCGCTCCAAATGTCTACTTGCAGATTCTACAAAAAGAGAGTTTCAAAACTCCTCAATCAAAATGAAGGTTTAACTCTATGGGAAGAATGCACACATCACAAAGAAGTTTCTCAGATTGCTTCTGTCTAGATGTTATGTGAAGATATTTCCTTTTCTACCATAGGCTGCAAAGCGCTCTAAATGTCCACTTGCAGATTAAAAAAAAAAGTGTTTCCAAACTGCTCAATCAAAAGAAAGGTTCAACTCTGAGCGATGAATGCACACATTACAAAGAAGTTTCTCCAAATTCTTCAGTCTAGTTTTTGTGTGATGATATTTCCTTTTTAATCATAAGACTCAAAGCACTCCAAATGTCCACTAGCAGATTCTACAAAAAGAGAGTTTCAAAATTGCTCAATCAAGATAAAGTTTTAACTCTATGAGATGAATGCACACATCACAAAGAAGCTTCTCAGATTGCTTCTGTCCAGATTTTATGTGAAGATATTTCCTTTTCTACCAGAGGCTGCAAAGTTCTCCAAATGTCTACTTGCAGATTCTACAAAAAGAGTGTTTCCAAACTGCTCAATCAAAAGAAATGTTGAACTCTGTGAGATGAATGCACGCATCACAAAGAAGTTTCTCAGATTGCTTCTGTCTAGATTTTATGTGAAGATATTTCCTTTTCTAACATAGGCCACTAAGCACTCCAAATGTCCACTTGCAGATTCTACAAAAAAGAGTGTTTCCAAACTGCTCAATCAAAAGAAAGGTTTAACTCTGTCAGTTGAGTGCACACATCACAAAGTAATTTCTCAGAATTCTTCTGTCTGTTTTTTATGGGAAGATATTTCCTTTTCCACCATAGGTGTCAAAGCGCCCCAAATGTCCACTTGCAGATCCTACAAAAAGAGAGTTTCAAAACTGCTCAATGAACAGAAACGTTAAACTCTGAGAGACAAATGCACACATGACAAAGAAGTTTCTCAGAATTCTTCTGTCTAGTTTTTATGTGAAGATATTTCCTTTTCTACCATAGGAAGCAAAGCACACCAAATTTCCACTTGCAGATTCTGCAAAAACAGTGTTTCCATCCCGGTCAATCAAAAGAGACGTTCAACTCTGTGCAAAGAAGGCACCCATCACAAAGAAGTTTCTCAGAATTCTTCTGTCTAATTTTTATGTGAAGATATTTCATTTTCCACCATAGGCCTCAAAGTACTCAAAATGTCCACTTGCAGATACTACAAAAGGAGTATTTCAAGGCTGCTCCATCAAAAGAAATATTCAACTCTGGGAGATGAATGCACACATCACAAAGAAGTTTCTCAGAATGCTTCCATCTAGTTTTTATTTGAAGATAATTCCATTTCCACCATAGGCCTCAAAGCACTACAAATGTCCACTTGTAGACTCTACAAAAAGAGAGTCTCAAAACTGCTCAATCAAGAGAAAGAGTTAACACTGTGAGATGAATGCACACATCACAAAGAAGTTTCTCAGATTGCTTCTGTCTAGATTTTATGTGAAGATATTTGCTTTTCTTCCATTGGTTGCAAAGCGCTGCAAATCTCCACTTGCATATTCTACAAAAAGAGTGTTTCCAGACTGCTGAATCGAAAGAAAGGTTCAACTCTGTGAGATGAATGCACACATCACAAGGACGTTTCTCAGAATTCTTCTGTCTAGTTTTTATATGAAGATATTTCCTTTTTTACCATAGGTCTCAAAGCGCTACAAATGTCCACTTGTAGATTATACAAAAAGAGAGCTTCAACACTGCTCTATCAAAAGAAACGTTTAACTCTGTGAGATGAATGCACACATCACAAAGAAATTTCTCAGACTGCTTCTGTCTAGATATTATTTGAAGATATTTCCTTTTCTACTGTAGGCCACAAAGAGCTCCAATTTCCACTTGTAGATTGTACAAAAAGTGTGTTTCCAAACTGCTCAATCCAAAGAAAGATTCAACTCTGTGAGATGAGCACATGCATCACAAAGAAGTTTCTCAGAAATCTTCTGTCTAGTTTTTAAGTGAAGATATTTCGTTGTCCAACATAGACCTCAGAACGCTCCAAATGTCCACTTGCGGATACTCCAAAAGGAGTGTTTCAAAACTGTTCAATCCAAAGAAAGTTTTACCTCTGTGAGATGAATGTACAGTACTCCAAATGTCCTCTTGCAGATTCTACAAAAAGAGTGTTTCCAAACTGCTTAATCAAAAGAAAGGTTCAACTGTGTGAGATGAATGCACACATCACAAAGAAGTTTGTCAGAATTCTTCTGTCTAGTTTTCATGTGAAGATATTAACTTTTTCACCATAGGCCACAAATTGATCCAAATGTCCACTTGCAGATTCTACAACAAGAGAGTTTCAAAACTCCTCTATCAAAAGAAAGGTTTAATACAGTGAGGTGAATGCACATATCATAAAGAAGTTTCTGAGATTGCTTCTGTCTAGATATTATGTGAAGATATTTTGTTCTCTACCATAGGCTTCAAAGCGCTCCAAATGTCCACTGACAGATTCTACAAAAGGAGTATTTCCAAACTGCTCAAAGAAAGTTTCAACTATGAGATGAATGCACACATCACAAAGATGTTGTTCAGAATTCTTCTGTCTAGTTTTTATGTGAAGATATTGCCTTTTCCACCACAGGCCTCAAACTGCTCCAAATGTCCACTTCCAGATCCTACAAAAAAAGAGTTTCAAAACTGCTCAATCAAAAGAAAGATTTAACGCTGTGAGATGAA